>NC_000013.11:85133094-85285935 GCF_000001405.40 Homo sapiens | reverse complement strand
TAAAAAGTGACTATCTCAAATGAGCTGCTGAAAAATAAGAAGCAGCCAATATTAAGATACATATATGTCTGTATGTGCACGTATGTACACACCCCATACTGTCATACACACATGAGTTTGTATGTCGCATACTAATAAACTTAGAACACTATGGAAATTTCTGGGAGGCATTAATTTATGAGAAAAATGACTACACACTCTTTCTTCTCACATGATTACTGGACCATAGTACATTTTCCTATTACTGACTGTGTTGATAGTTTATTGCTGACAATAGCTATCCACTCTGCTCTGCCAACCTCTGCTGATATTTTAATTGTTTTCCTTTGTTTTTATACACAGTTGAAAGTTTTGAGATAAATAGCAATTAAAATATACAAATATGTTCAGTGGTAATCATCAGCCTTTTCTGCAACAAGCCAAATAATGAGACTTTGACAGTATTTGATGAGTTTATATTCCATTAAATTTAAATTACAATAGAAACATGTTTTCAGTGCTAGATTATAGCAAGTGCAAAATTCAGAAGCAACTAATCTTAGTTGTCTATGCATCAAGAGTAGACCATTATTATTGACATTATGAACATCTCCAGCATAAGGCGACAAAAGCTAACCTTTCTCAGGGTCATGTGAAGTGGACATTTTACAGTGAATAGGTTTAAATACTCCATATGTTGAAAATTGTTTTAGCTATTTGATATTTTGCTGACAAATAAATGTCTGTTACTTATTTCTAAATGTATACCTGATTTTTATTTAATAATAATTGTAGACTAATGAAAGGCATTAAGAAATGTCTTTACTTTGTTAGGGAGAGAGTAAAGGACCAATGTCAAAGTGTAAAGTTTTATATGTATAAATCTAATTTATTTACATCTCATTTATATATATATATATATCTCATACATATGTCATATATATGTATATACATGATAAGATAATTTTTGGCAAAGCACTCCTCTGTGAAATCCATGGTTTTTAATCATCTTTATGTCATATTATCTCCTGGACAATCCCCATTTCTTTTCTCTGTCTGATCAGACTCAGTCCCGCGTCTGAGGTCAAACTAAGACTCATTTGTTCTGTCAAAATTATATGGAGTACACTTCAAAACATGAAGTGTTTCCTTCTTTTCCATTCCTTAACTACTTCTTATAAATTGTATATATGTTTAAGATGCTTCATTATTGCCAAGCTCTCAACTAAATGAGTTATTGTTATTTACTATGCACAAGGTTTATTTTGTGACCCCTATAGAAATAGACATTCTTGTCAGTGATTGAATACAAAATTCTCTATCTTTTCGTAGAAATTGTGCAATGTCTCTTTCATGATGTTCATGCAAGAAATGTGTATTGCTTTGATATTTTTTGGACAGATGATTGATGAATTTTATAATATGAATCAACTGCCATAAGCAGGAAAGGAAGGATGGATCATTCCTTAAATTCAGAATGTCAGGTGTATTTACCCAGTCAATATATATCTAGCCTTATTAGTAGGTCTTTTAAGCTAAAACTATATAATTTAGGGATTTTATAGTACCGCTTCTCTAAACACCAAACTAAATGAACAATTACTGAAAGCTATTTTAAAAGAACTGAAAAAGACATGTTGTAAAAATACATATCTAAAGATCTTTGTAAATATGCTTCCTTATTAAAATTATTATTAAAATCTATATTAAATTTAAAGTCGATTTAATGTTAAATTTAATTAAAATATTATTAAAATTACTATAAGCTCCTGTCTACCCATCATCGTTGCCAATTATGTTGTTTCTTCATGCTTCTTTTTCAAAAATTAAGAGAAAAGTGTTTGATGTTTTACTTATTAAAAATTTTTTTTGAAAGAATAGCTTTTCCTCACTGCCAATGGTATTGAATACCTCTTTTCCTTTTGAAATTCACCTCAGTTTTTTTGGTGTGTGTAAAGAAGATTTCATGAGTCTTTTTCATGAGCCTGACATTGTTATGAGTGCTTTGTATGTATTAAAGCAGCTAAGCCTAATCTCAACTTCATGAAATACTTAACTGATATTATCCTCAGTTTAGGGATGAGGAAACTCACACAAAGAAGTTGAGTAACTTGTACAAGACCGTATTCTAAGAGGTGGTGGAGTTAAAATTGGAACCCAGGCAACTTGACTCCAAAGGCTGCCTCATAATTCCTACCATGCCTTTTCCATTCTCCTTTTACTTTGCTGGCCCTATTGTTTCACTGCTCAAAAGCCATAATATTTCCATTTCTATTATAAATGGCAAGCTTATCTCACAATGTAAACATTCACTTCTAGAGGAATTTACTCATGAGTGGCTCTAACTCAGTATCTCCTACACTCCTCTGTCACTCAAAATGCTTGTTGAAAAGTTCCACTTGTGCCTTAAAGTGTTGTCAATTTGAATTCAAAGTGTTCTGTGGCAGTTTAAAGAAGGGACAAAGAAGACAAAGTCTGCTTTATCAAAATTCCAACAATTCTATCACTGCTTGTCCAATGATTAAGGCTAATGATATGTCTCCCAAAGCCTCTGGCTAACAGCATTCTAACAATCACTGTCAATTTTTCTTCCCTTTTTCTATATGTTCTCTTTCTGTTATTGTTCACTATCAGCTCTACTCAACAGCTCATATCTTTTTTTTGTTTTGTTTTGTTTTTTTGTTTTTTTTTTAATTTTGTTAGCTGCTTTCCTACAGGAAAGATTCTCAGTATCTAGTTTTTCCACCATACTTTCTCTTCTACAATTCCTGTCTTAGACAATTTGTGTTGCCATAAAGGAATGCCTGAGTCTGGGTAATTTATAGGAAAAAGTGTCTCATGTTTTTGCAGGCTGTACAAGATGCATGCTGTCCACATATGGTTTTGATGAGGGTCTCACACTGCTTCCACTCATGGCAGAAGGCATAAGGGAGCCAGCATATGCAGAAACCTTATGGGCAAGAGAGCTAGCAAGAGAGAGAGGCAGGAGATTCCATGCTTTTTTAAACAACCAGCTCTCCAGGGTACTGACAGAGTAACGACCCACTCACTACAGCAAGGAGTGTACCAAGACGTTCATGAGGAATTTGCCTCCATGGACAAAACACCTCCCGTTAGGCTCCACATCTAACACTGGGGATAAAATTTCAACATGAGTTTTGGGAGACAAACATCCACACTATAGCATGTCCTTACTTCATTAATTTTAAAAAATACCGCTTTTCAGTAATGCAGCAGTATTACTCTTCTTGAAATATTTTAAGGCCATATATTCTCTAGACAATCCTGTATGAATTGTTCTAACAAAAGCCCTCCATATGTGCCAAATTATTCCTCAATTATTGCTGTGCAACATCTTCCTTTAAACCCACATGGGTTATTGGGCCACCCTTGTCCAGATATTCCATGTTCACTCTACCCTTTACTTTTGGTCACATAAATATTTTTTTCCCTCTGGAAAAGTAGCTCTTATTTTTTCCAATTACTGAGATTTTTTTTCAATCAAGATTTGTATTAAGCCCAAGCATCTCCATAAAACCTCTGTTGCTACCCTAGTAGACAATTGTCTCTTCTCTAAACTCTTAGGTCACATTGCATCTGTCTACTTATTTGTTTCTTACCATGCAATAGTGTTTTGTGGTTTCTATTTATTCCTATTTTAAGTCCTACCACAAGCCCTATATCTTATTATTTGTGTGTGTGCAAAATCATTTATTTGCATCACCATTCTGTAACATAGAGCTTAGAATATATTAGGTATTCAAATATGAGGTTGCTGATACACACAAAGTATTTCAGCAAAACCAGTTTGAAAATATAAATAATAATAAATACATTAATTAAAAAGCTTAGAAATAGATCTAATTAATGTACTTTAAACAGACAACTAATTTATCAGATTAAAAATGTTACATATTTTGAAGGTGATTTATCAAAAAGCTGATTTTAAAATGTGATTGTTTTGCAAAATTATTTTGCTGTCCCCAATTTTTGACTCATAGCTAATTAACCATGAATATATATTTCAAAGTGTGGTGAGTGAATCAACTGAAATAGGAAGATAAAAAGTTTTGCAAAGCATAAACTCAGGAGAAAAAAAAAGCCAATATATTAATCAAGGTTATTTAAATGTCATTGAGAGTAGGAGGTTTTTTAATGTTTATACTTTTTACTTTCGGAATTTGTTAGTACTTCAAGTTTGTTTAAAATACTTTTGGTTTGATTGTTTAATGGGGTAAACAATTGCTGTTTTATGGGCTATATTTTTAGTGCTTTTAAATGAAATATATTCAAAAACCAAATGAAATACCTAATAAAATTTCAACTTTAGTGAAATTCAAACAGCTAGCAATGTATTTTATTCTACCAATTGCCTTGTGTGTTTTTTAGGATGATGCCATAAAAGAAACATGTTTCTTGTATTCAGAATATCAGAATTTGAGTTCTTGCTATTCACTTTATCTGTAAATTTTTATATATCATTTAATCAATCTGAACTTCAATATTATAATTTATACTATTAAAATTTGATTATTGGCCTTTCTGGGTTGTGGGTAGAAATAACATAATGAATATGAAAACACATTACGCAACTCTTAGAAAGTAGTGAACCACAAATATTGATTGAATCTGGATGTTTGGAAGCATTAAAGCAAAAAAGTTAACTGTACATTTAGATTATTCTTCTATATATTCTAACCCAATTATAAAAGACAATATACTTATAATTGAGAATGGGATGCTATGGTAGATATTACAACTGATACCGCAGAAACACCAAGAATAAAATGAGCTACTATAAACACTTGTATTCCAATACATTTGATAACCTAAAATGAATGGATAAATTCCTAGAAACATAAAACCTCTCAAGACTGAATCATGAGGAAACAGAAAATCTGAACAGACCAATAATGAATGAGTAGAGATTGAATTGGTAATCAAAAAATTCTCAAGAAAATAAGCCAAGGACCTGATGCCTTCAACGGTGAATTCCAACAAACCTTTAAAGAATTAACACCAATCCTTCTCAAACTCTTGCAATAAATTGGAGAAAAGGGAACACTTGAAAACTCATTTTATGTGGCCAGCATTACCCTGACACCAAAGCCAAACAAGGACATTACAAGAAAAAATGACTGGTTAATATTACTGATGAACTTGGATATAAAAATTCTTAACTACTGGCTAACCAAATTCAACAGCACGTTAAAAGAATCGTACACATGATCAGGTGGGATTTATTCCAAGGACGCAAAGAGAGTTCAACATATGCAAATCAGTAAATGTGATACACCACATTAAAAGAATGAAAAGTAAAAATAATACAGTCATCTCAATGGATGCAGAAAAGGCATTGACAAAATCCAACATCATTTTAAGATAAAATTACTCAACAAACTAGGTTAGAAGGAATGTACTTCAACATAATAAAGGCCAAATATGACAAGCCCACAGCTAAACATAATACTCAATGGTGAAAGCTGAAAGCTTTTCTTCAAGATCAAGACCAAGGCACGAATGCCCCTCACTTTCACCACTTCTATTCAACAAAGTGTTAGATGTACTTGCCAGAGTAGTTGTGCAAGAAAAATAAAAGTTACTCAAATTAGAAAGGAAAAGGTTAAATTGTCCCTGTTTATACATGTCCTGATCTTACATGTGACTCCATCAAAAAATTTTAGAACTAGTAAACAAATTCAGTTTCAGGATACAAATTAACATACCAAAATCAATAGTGTTCTGCACAGTAACAATAAAGAAATTGAAAAAGTCTCATTAACAGCATAAAAATACTCATAAATAAATTTAACCCATGATGTGAAAGATCTGTACACTAAAAACTATAAAACATTGATGAAATAAATTGAAGACAGAAACAAATGGGAATTTATCTCATGTTCTCAGATTGGAAGAATTTGTATTGTTAAAATGTCCATATTACCCAAAGCAATCTAATGATCGAATGCAATTTCTATCAAAATTCTAAAAACATATTTTATAGAAATAGGAAAAAAAAAATCCTACAATTCATGTAGTATCACAAGAGGCCCCAAAAGACATAGCAGTCTTGAGCAAAAAGAATAAAGCTGGAGGCATCCTACTAGCTGATTTCAAAACACTCTATAAAGCTATGCTAATCAAACAGTATAGTACTGGCATAAAAACAGGCATATAGACCAATGCAATAGAGTAGAAGAGCCCAGAAATAAATCCATATATATATAGTCAGTTGATCTTTAATAAATGAGCCAAGACCATGCAATGGAGAAATACAGTCTGTTCAATAGTGGTGTTGAGACAACTGTCTGTCCACATGCAGAAGAATGAAATTGGGCAATTATCTCCCAACCATATTTAAAAATGCACTCAAAATGGATTAAAGACTTAACATAAGACCTGAAACTTCAAAACTATTAGAAGAAACCACAGCAAAAAAAAAATATATTGACACTGATCTGAGCAATGATTTTTTTATATGACCTCAAAAGCACAGGCACCTAAAGCAAAAATAAATAAACATTCATTTTGGAAGGAATAAACTAAGGGGCATGTGTATATAGACATTCATTTTACAGAGTGAAACATATTTACCACAGGAAGAATTTTAAATAGAGTTTTCATTAAAGTTTTGTTTCCAGTAATATTGAGGGCCTATCTTATTCTAAATGTCTTTCTCACTCCAAATCGTGCTCACACCACACATTTCTTTTCATGTTCTGATTATAGCTACTCTAACTATAAAGAAGAAAATGGCTGGAAGCATTTGTTTTACACAGGCACAATCTATAAAGATAAGCAATTTGATGAAATGAAATTACTAAAAATTTTCATCCATTTCCCTAAATCTTCAGCAAGTAGACCTTCAATCTAGGAAGAACAGCAGCAGGTCTCCCTGTTGGTCTGTATTTTCTCAGTACCAGAAAAAAATCAGATCAACTGTAGAAACCTAGAGGCTATTTTTACAGGAGTTCTGTTCAGGACTTCTTCTTTTGTGTTTCCAACATGTGCATTTCATTTGGAGGAAATGATAGCCATACAGTTTTGATTCGTTTACACTCAGTTCCTAAAAGTACAGTGTTTTAAAAGGTATTTGACGTCCATGGAATTTCTGAGCCTTTTTATAAGCCAGTTTATAAAAACCAGAAACTTAAATTTTGCTAGCATATGAAATAAAATACCAAACAGTTTATATATGCTAAGAAAAGTAAAACTCTCAAATCTATGAATGGATGTATATATTACACAATTACTTGTTATCTTCACTTTCTTACTCCTAGGATTTTGTTTGCACATTCTCAGTGAAGTAAAGAATTGAAATAATTATTTACAAAGTTCATTAAAATGTTTTTTAGTGAATTATATGGCTAATTCATTACTTTTTAGTTTGTTTTGTAATATATAAAATTTTCATCCAAATTTCCCTGAACTACATGCAAACATTTTTATGTCCTTGTAGCATTTATTTTGAAAATAAGACATGAATTTGAGCTGTTTGTATTCTACTAACTGGTTTTGTGATATTAGGAATTCCAGAAGCCTAAAACGTATATTTTAGAAAATTGTAATTATAACAAGCTTTTGAAGCTATAGTTTGCCATTAATTTTTTTTTTACAAAATTGTTTATTCAAGTAAAAAGTCTAACTCATAACTTGTGTATTATTTAACACTAAATAATTCAGAAATGCAGAACACCTCAGAGACAAGCATATACACTGCAGATACTGGTAACTAAATAAAGAACCTAGTTCAAGTTGATTTCCAATAGCCAGCGGAATAAAATAAACATGAAGTGGAAATAAATGAAAATAAGAATTTCTTATTTGATTTTAATCATTTTTATTTCTCAAATTGAGGAATTTTTTTTTAAGTTTGTTTTACTGCCCTGGGTCCAAAATCAACTCATTCAAATCTCTTCAATCTTTTTTTTTTCCTTTAACACTTTATCAAAGTCATTAGTTACCATACTGGCTGCATGGTGGGATTCAATGATGTCATAAAATCAACATGCTTTGTCAAATAGTATATCTCTTACTCACTCTAATCAGCAGCTAACTGATGAATGGCATTCCTTTGGTGGGCAGAGTATCTCTCTGCATAGTTACATATTTATTCAAAAGCAGATAATTTGAGAGAACTTACATTAACTTAAAGGAGAAAATGATTTTCTAAAAGCATTCTTTTGGAGTAATGTATGCTATCTGTACGTGTCAAAATCTTCACATGCAATTATTTACGTTTTTACTACAACATTGATTTTTACAGTTGTTGTTCCATGTATTATAATATGCATACTTTATCAAAGTAGGATTATTATTATGCCACTTCCTGAAAAATTAAACTTACAATATTAAAATGCCTTTTACCAAGCACCACCCTTTTTTGCAATTGTTATCATATAGTGGAATCTGTATAAGTAATGATTTTGAAAGTTGTTATTAACTGTATTTACATTTATGTTTTTCTTTATGTCATCCTGAAGATTTGAGTTTCCATTTGGTGTCAGCTCCTTTTCACCTAAAGAGGCTTCTTTAGCAATTTTTAATAATGCAGTTCTACTGGTGGCATATTTTCTCAGCATGTGGTTATCACAAAGTCTTTATTACACCCATTTTTAAAGAATATTCTCACTTTATCAGAAATTATTTGTTTAAAGTTATAATGGTAGTTTCAGGTTTTTTGAAATTTATTTTACTGTCTACTCTGACCTCCATTATTCTTAATCAAGAATCAGTCATCTCTTACATCTTTCTAAGTAATTTATCTTTCCCTTTTTGGGTCTAATATTTTACTTTTATATTTTTTTTTTTACCAGTTTGCCACTGCAGTTTCTAGATATGCTGTTACTTACATAAATCCTGAAGTTTTCTGATCTAGATGAATCTGTATGTTGATGATCTAAACTTTACACTAAATTGTTGAAATCCTAATTTGTTTGTTTGTTTGTTTGTTTATTTGAGACGGAGTCTCGCTCTGTCGCCCAGGCTGGAGTGCAGTGGCGCAAACTCGGCTCCCTGCAAGCTCCGCCTCCCGGGTTCACGCCATTCTCCTGCCTCAGTCTCCCGAGTAGCTGGGACTACAGGCGCCGACCACCACACCTGGCTAATTTTTTGTATTCTTAGTAGAGACGGGGTTTCACCGTGTTAGCCAGGATGGTCTCGATCTTCTGACCTCCTGATATGCCCGCCTCGGCCTCCCAAAGTGCTGGGATTACAGGCGTGAGCCACCACGCCTGGCTGAAATCCTAATTATTTATATCTCTTTCAGAGACTCCAATTATATAAGCAATATACCTATTAATTTTTATCCAATAGGGCACTGCTCTGCTTATTTATTCTTTTTATTTTTAAAAACCGGTTTTTTGTTTATTTGTTTTTAACTCTATGTTCTTTAGTGTAAATTACTGATCTTGCTATCTCTTCAATGTCACTGACTACTTTTTGTGCCACCTTTACTTTGTGTTAATGTTGATCCAGTGAAATTTTACATGTTTAGTTCTATAATTTACATTTGGTTTCTATTTCTCTGCCATGATTTTCCAAATGTTCATTTTAGGTCAAGCTTTTGCTTTAGGATCATGAATATATTTACAATAGACATCTTAGCATTTTTATCTGCTGTTTCCAACATCTGGCTCATATTGAATTTGTTGACAGTTAAAAAATAAAGCTATGCATTATGTTATCCTCCTTCAGTAGATGTCCAGTATTTTTTAAATGCATATTGTATAATAGGGGTGATACATTGCAAGTAGCTAAATTATACTGTCTTCCTTTAGAACTTGATGAGATTTTATGTCTCAGATAGTAAAATACTGACAGCTTTTTCAAGCATTGCAGACTCATCTATTTAGAATATAATTTTGATAGAAAGATGATGGTATGGAGTATACTATACCTACAAAGTACTGATTCTGAGCTACTCTCTTTTAAAAAATATTTTTTTCATCAAATCATATACTTTCCCAGCTATTGTTTTTTCATTCAAAATCTGCAGGTAATGTTCATCAGACTGGTATCAGAGTAAGAGAGAATATTGCTTTATTGTTATTGGTCCTATTGTTTGTTTAGTTTTTACTTTTTAATTATTGCTACAATTTTAATTCTATGAATAATGAGAAATTGATGTAAATCATTTTTAGACATGTGTTTATGAAATTATAACGAAGAATTTACACTCTAATCATATGGTTTATATATTTAACAAATCTGAAAAATAAAAAAGAATCCTTTACTAAACTATTTTATGTTTTTACCTTGATAATGTGTTTAGAAAGTTACTTTTTCAGAAGTATAAGATTTATTTTATGCTTTATTTTATTAGAAATAAATAAGAAATAAAAGCACTTATTGAAAATGTGAAATTGCTTTTATCCTGTATTTTTTCCTCCATAGAACACATACTTAAAAAATTAATTTTATACTGCTGTCAATATTTCAAAATCATATAAAAAACCATTGTTTAAAATATACTCAATAATATTTTAACATGACTAAACTAAAAACACATTACTTAAAAAATATATTATGGTACTAAATAAAATGTGTGTTCATACTGAATAAATTAAGAAGTCTCAATAATGAATGTAAAAACAGACAGGATTATACCCATATGTAAGAGACAGAAAAACATTAAAGATGGAGGTCCTTTTATTCTTCAAGAAACATTTGATTATAAAATCATATACTTAAAATAATTTCCGAGGTCTTAAACACCCATTGATTACCAGTACCTTAACAGCTTATTTAATTTTCTATTTAAGATCTCCATATTTATAATATGGTATCTTAACCATTCGACTTAGTTTCCAATTTGGCCTTGGTGTGTTTTAAGTCTTTCCAGATAAAACATGAGGGAAAACCAGATTGTTCCTTCACTCAAATTTTCACAGATTCTAAAAAATTTTTATAATAATATATCATTTCTAGCAAAAACCTCATATGTGTAATAAAATAAGATATATCTTCAAAATAAACTAGCCAAGTGCACAGTTAAAATGTCCAACCTAGAAGACTTGCATTCTCGAAGATAATTATTTCTCTCTGTCAAGGAAGTACACTTTATATACAATCTGGGTGCATCTGGGAATGCCATCTGGGCTTACCATGTATCTTTCCCCTATGGTTCTTGGGGAATAAGGGGAACTGATAAGAATAGGAGGTGCATGATATTTGCTGTGCTCTGCTGCAATGATGTCCTTTGCTCTACCTCCAGAGTCTTTGTCTTATGCTAGCATCCATGAAACTGGGGCGTATTAACTTGTTAGGCTTCAAGCAGGATAAAATCTGAGTCCTGTTAGATTTCTTGACAGTATCTATTAATCACTAGCTGTGTAATCTGAAATATGCTATCTACTGGACAATATACTTTATGAATATCACAGTGAATGATATCCACAGTGAAAAAGACCCATTAGCAAAACGCTGTTATTAATGTTGTGATCAAAGCAAGCAAAAATCAGACACAGAAATAAAAACAATATGTAGGACTGACAGGAGGCTTGGGATGGAGTTTATAAAGGATTGTCTGAAAATGACTCTAATTAACAGACTTTGAAGGTGAAAGGCCAATTTTAAGAAGAACCTTGTCACCAGAAGAATGGGTCAGAAAGTAACACAAGGGGAATCAGCATGTTCACCATATCTCAAATGACAACACTGATGTATGTTAGAGAAAGTTACATCTAGTAGTATAGCTAGAATATATGGCGTGAGAAGAATAATGAAATAGGCAGAAAATGGGTACATGGTGTTAAAGAAAAAAATATTCTGACACTTCTTAAAATTGGCAAGAAGAACTTTGAGGGATTGGGCTCAATTCAAACTTAATCTAAAGTAAAGATCGCTGGGGATCTGAAGCCAGGGAGCAATGCAATGGGGTCAGTGGATGGAAAATTACTAAGAGGGGACATCAAGGGTAGGACAATTCTTACTAAACTGACCCAACAAGATTCTTGAGATAGGCAGGCAAAGGACATATACATCAAGGGTGGGATGAAGAAATATGAGCAGATATCAAGGATGATCAGGTATCAAAGGTGGAAGGAGGAGTTTTACAAAAGAGACATAGAATGATTCCTGCTAAGACAAGGCTATTGGTAGAAGACAGTGCTTGTGTCAACAGAAAAAGTGAGGATTATAAAACATTTTATAGGCCATACAAAGTAGTTTACTTTCTAATTAAGATACAAAAGATAGCTATGAATAAATTTCTACCAGAAGAGAAACAAGATTGACTTTTTTCCCAGGGGATAACTTCTGCTGCTATGTGAAGAGCCAGGACTTGAAATCAGTGATATTTTGACCTAGTTATGAAAGTGGATTATCAAAACTTAACTAATTTTTATGATTTATATAGAAATTCTACTAAAATATCCTTTTCTACATTTTCCTTTTGTAACAGGTAAAATAGAAAGCAAAAAATATGTTGTATATCTATTATCGAAGTTTTTCATATTTATACCTTTTCCTTGTGAGACTGAAATTGTTTTTGATTTATTTTTAAAGCTTTTATTTCATAATTATATTATTTATAGCACAAATAATACATGCATATTTTTGAAAATCGATCAGTACAGATAAACAAAGGAAAAATTGTTATAAGTAATTTGTTATTACTATCCAAAAATAAACACTATTAAGATTTTGATGTACCATGTGAGACTTGTGTGCTTATGTGTGTGTGTGTGTGTATTCATATATAGATTCTTTTTTTTCTATTTTTTGGGGGTAACAGATGGTGTTTAGTTACCTGGTTAAGTACTTTAGTGATTATTTCTGAGATTTTGGTGCACCCGTTACCCAAGCAGTGTACACTGTACCCAATGTGTAGTCTTTTATCCCTTGGCCCCCTCCCACTCTTCCCTCTGAGTCGTCAAAGTCCATTGTGTCATTCTTATGTCTTTGCATTCTCATAGCTTAGCTCCCACGTATAAGTGACAATATACGATGTTTGGTTTTCCATTACTGACTTACTTCACACAGAATAATGGTCTCCAGTTCATCCTGGCGAACACGGTGAAACCCTGTCTCTACTAAAAAATACAAAAAAAATTAGCCGGGCGTGGTGGCGGGCGCCTGTAGTCCCAGCTACTCTGGAGGCTGAGGCAGGAGAATGGCGGGAACCCAGGAGGCGGAGCTTGCAGTGAGCCGAGATCGCGCCGCTGCACTCCAGCCTGGGAGACAGAGCGAGACTCAGTCTCAAAAAAAAAAAAAGAATAATGGTCTCCAGTTACATTCAGGTTGCGCACATGCCATTATTTCATTCCTTTTTATGGCTGAGTAGTATTTCCATGTGTATTTTTGTGTGTGTGTGTGCGTGTGTGTGCATGTAGATAGATAGATACTTTCTATGGCATATATATATATAGAGAGAGAGAGAGAGAGAGAGATCATTTTCTTTATCCACTCAATTGATGGGCATTTGGGCTGGCTATTTTTGCAATTGCAAATTGTGCTGCTATAAACATGCGTGTGAAAGTGTTTTTTTGTTGTTGTTGTTTGTTTGTTTTTTGTATAATGACTCCTTTTCCTCTGGGTAGATACCCAATAGTGGGAATGCTGGATCAAATGGTAGATCTACTTTTAGTTCTTTAAGGAATCTCCACACTGTTTCCTATAGTAGTCGTAGTAGTTTACATTCCCACCAGCAGTGTAAACATGTTCTCTTTTCACCATATCCATGCCACCATCAATTATTTTTTGATTTTTTAATTATGGTCATTCTTGCAGGAGTAAGGTGGTATCACATTGTGGTTTTGATTTGCATTTTCCTTATAATTAGTGATGCTGAGCATTTGTTCATATGTTTGCTGGCCATTTGTGTATCTTTTGTGAATTGTCTCTTCATGTGCTTAGCCCCCTTTTTGATGAGATTGTTAGTTTATTTCTTGCTAATTTGTTTGAGTTCCTTACAGACTCTGGATATTAGTCCTTTGTTGGATGCATAGTTTGTGAGTATTTTCTCCCACTCTGTGGGTTGTCTATTTTCTTTGCTGATTATTTATTTTGCTGTGCAGAAGCTTTTTAGTTTAATTAAGTCCCATCTATTTATTTTTGTTTTTGCTACTTTTGCTTTTGGGTTCTTGGTCGTGAAGTCTTTGCATAAGCCAATGTCTAGCGGGGTTTCTCTGATGATATCCTCTAGAATTTTTATAGTTTCAGGTCTTAGATTTAAATATTTGATCCATCTTGAATTGATTCTTATATAAGGTGAGAGATGTGGATCCTGTTTCATTCTTCAGTATGTGGCTTGCCAATTATCCCAGCACCATTTGTTAAATAGGGTGTCTTTTTCCCACTTTACGTTTTTGTTTGTTTTGTCCAAAACCAATTGGCTGTAAGTATTTGGCTTTATTTCTGTGTTCTCTATTCCATTCCATTGGTCTATGTGCCTACATTTACACAAGTATCATGCTGTTTTGGTGACCATAGCCTTGTAGTATAGTTTGAAGTCAAGTAACGTGATGCCTCCAGATTTGTTCTTTTTGCTTAGGTTTGCTTTACTTTTTTTTCTTCCATATGAATTTTAGGATTTTTTTTTCTAGTTCTATGAAGATTGATGATGACATTTTCATGGGAATTGCATTGAATTTGTAGTTTGCTTTTGACAGTATGGCCATTTTCACAATATTGATTCTACCCATATATGAACATGGGATGTATTTCCATTTGTTTATGTCATCTATGATTTCCTTCAGCAATGTTTTCTAGTTTTCCTTGTAGAGGTCTTTCACCTCCTTGATTAAGTATATTCCCCAATATTTTATTTTTATTATTATTATTGCAACTACCGTAGAGGGGTTGAGTTCTTGATTTGATTCTCGACTTGATCACTGTTGGTGTATAGCAGTGCTACTGATTTGTGTACAATCATTTTGGGTCCTGAAACTTTACTGAATTAATTTATCAGTTCTAGGAGCTATTTGGATTAGTCTTTAGCATTTTCTATGTATACAATCATATATCATCAATGAAGAGTGACAGTTTGATTTCCTCTTTACCAGTTTGGATGCCTTTTATTTCTTTCTCTTTTCTTATTGCTCTGGATAGAACTTCCATACTATCTTGAACACAAGTGGTAAAAGTGAACATCCTTGTCCTGCTCCAGTCTCGGGGAAATGCCTTCAATTTTTCCCCATTCAGTATAATGTTGGCTATGGGTTTATCATAGATGGCTTTTATTTTTTTAAGATATGTCCCTTCTATGCCAATTTTGCTGAGGGTTTTAGTCATAAAGGGATGCTGGATTTTGTCAGATGCTTTTTCTGCATCTATTGAGGTGATCATGTGATTTTTGTTTTTAATTCTGTTTATGTGGTATATCACATTTATTGACTTGTATATGTTAAAAAATTCCTACATCCCTGGCATGAAACCCACTTGATTATGGTAGATTATCTTTTGGATATGCTGTTGAATTCAGTTAGCCAATATTTTGTTGAGGATTTTTGCATCTATGTTCATCAAGGATATTTGTCTGTAGTTTTCTTTTTTGCTATGTCTTTTCCCAGTTTGGTATTATGGTGATAATGGCTTCATAGAATGATTAAGGGAGGATTCTTTCTCTATCACCAGAATCAGTGTCAATAGGCTACATACCAATTCTTCTTTTAATGTCTGATAGAATTCAGGTGTAAATCCATCTGGCCTTGAACTTTCTTTTGTTGGCAATTTTAAAATTATCATTTCAATCTTCCTGCTTGTTATTGGTCTGTTCAGAGTTTCTATTTCTTCCTGGTTTAATCTAAGAGGGTTTTATATTTCTATTAATTTATTCATCTCCTCTAGGTTTTCTAGTTTGTGTGCATCAAGGTGTTCATATTAGCCTTGAATGATGTTTTGTATTTCCATGGTATCAGTTGTAATATCTTCCATTTCATTTCTAATTAACTTATTTGTACCTTCTTTCTTCTTTTCTTGGTTAATTTCACTAATAGTCTATCAATTTTATCTTTTCCAAAAAACCAGCTTTTTGTTTAATTTATCTTTCATTTTTGTTTGTTTGCTTTAATTTCATTTAGTTCTGCTCTGATCTATGTTATTTCTTTTATTCTGCTGGGTTTAGGTTTGGTTTGTTCTTGCTTCTCTAGTTCCTTGAGGTATGACCTTAGATTGCCTACTTGTGTTCTTTCAGACTTTTTGATGTAGGCATTTAATGCTATGAACTTTCTCTTAGTACCATTTTTGCTTTATCCCAGAGGTTTTGGTTGGTTGTGTCACTATCAACTTTGAGTCAAATAATTTTTTAAATTTCTATCTTGATTTCATTAATGACACAATGATCATTTAGGAGCAGATTATTTAATTCTCATGTATTTGCATTGTTTTGGAGTTTATTTCCAATTTTATTTCACTATGGTCTGAGAGAGTATTTGATATAATTTCGTTTTTTATTTCATTTTTTTTTTTTTTAAGATGGAGTCTCACTCTGTCACCCAGTCTGGAGTGCAATGACATGATCTTGGGTCACAGCAACATCCACCTCCCGGGTTCAAGTTATTCTCCTGCCTCAGCCTCCCAAGTAGCCGAGATTACAGATGTGTGCCACCATGCCCAGCTAATTTTTGTATTTTTAGTAGAGTCAGGGTTTTGCTATGTTGGCCAGGCTGGTCTCGAACTCCTGATCTCAGGTAGTCCGCCACCTCAGCCTCCCAATGTGCTGGGATTATAGGCATGAGCCATTGTGCCCAGCCTCAATTTTATTAAATGTATCGAGACTTGTTTTGTGGCCTATCATATGATCTATCTTGAAGAATGTTCATGCACTGTTGAATAGAATGTATATTCTGCAGTTGTTGGGTAGAATATTCTGTAAATATCTGTCAAGTTTATTTGCTCTACAGTGTAGTTTAAGCCCGTTGTTTCTTTGTTGACTTTCTGTCTTGGTGAGCTGTCTGGTGCTGTCAGTAGAGTATTGAAGTCCCCCACTATTAATGTGTTGCCGTCTACCTCATTTCTTAGGTCTAGTAGTAATTGTTTTGTAAATTTGGAAGCTCTAGTGATAGGTACATATATATTTAGGATTGTGCTATTTTCCTGTTGGATTAGACAAGACGATTTATCATTATATAATGCCCCTCTTTGTCTTTTAACTGTTGTTGCTTTAAAGTCTGTTTTGTCTGATATAAGAATAGCTACTCCTGCTCATTTTGATGTCCATTTGCATGGAACACCTTTTTCCACCCCTTTAAGTTTATGATTCCTTGTGTGTTAGGTAAGTCCCTTGAAGACAACAGATTCTTGGTTGTTGAATTCTTATCAATTTTGCCATTCAGTATCTTTTAAGTGGAGCATTTAGGCCATTTACATTCAGCATTAGTATTGAGATGTGAGGTATTATTCTATTCATGATAGTTGTTACCTGAATACCTTGAGTTTTTTTTTTTTTTTCATTGTGTTGTTTTATAGGTCCCATGAGATTTATGCTCTAAGAACATTCTGCATAAGTGTATATTGAGGTTTTGTTTCAATACTTAGAATTCCTTTTAGCAGTTCTTATAATGCTGGCTTGGTAGTGGCAAATTCTCTCAGCATTTGTTTGTCGGAAAAAGACTATATCTTTTCTTCATTTATGAAGCTTGATTTTTCTGAATACTAATTTCTTGAATGATAATTGTTTTGATTAAGGAGGCTAAAGATAGGACTCTAATCCCTTCTAGCTTGTAGGGTTTCTGCTGAGAAATCTGCTGTTAATCTGATAGGTTTTCTTTTATAGGTTATCTGATGCTTTTGCCTCACAGCTCTTAAGAATATTTCCTTCATCTTGATTTTGAATAACGTGATGACTATGTGCATAGGTGATTATCTTTTTGCAATAGTTTCCTGGGTATTTTTTGAGTTTCTTATATTTGGATGTCTAGATCTCTACCAAAACCAGGGAAGTTTTCCTCAATTATTCCCTCAAATATGTTTTTTAAATGTTTATATTTCTCTTCTTCATTGGGATCACCAATTATTTTTAGGTCTGATCATTTAACATAATCCCAGACTTCTCGGAGGCTTTGTTCATTTTTTAAAATTCTTTCTTCTTTGTCTTTGTTGCATTGTGTTAATTTGAAAGCCTTGTCTTGAAGCTCTGAAGTTCTTCCTTCCACTTGTTTAATTCTATTGTTGACACTTTCCAGTGTATTTTGCATTTCTCTAAGTGTGTCTTTCTTTTCCAGAAGTTGATTTTTTTTATCTATACTATTTATTTCTCTTTAAATGTTTCCATCCATATCCTGTGACATTTAAAAAAAATTTCTTTAAGTTTTTATTCATCTTTCTCTGGTGCCTCCATGATGAACTTACTAATCAGCCTTCTGAATTCTTTTTCTGGCAATTCAGAGATTTCTCCTTGGCTTGGATCCATTGCTGGTGAGCTAGTGTGATCTTTCAGGGGTGTTAAAGAACCTAGCTTTGTCATATTACCAGAATTGTTTATCTGGTTTCTTCTCATTTGGGTAGACTACGTCAGCGGAAAGATCTGGGGCTCAGGGGCTGCTGTTTAGATTCTTTTGTCCCACAGGGTACTCCCTCAATGTGGTGCTCTCCCTCTTCCCCTAGGGATAGGGCTTCCTGAGAACTGAACTGCAGTAATTGTTATTTCTCTTCTGAGTCTAGCCATCCAGTGGAACTACCAGGTGCCAGGCTGGTACTAGGGAGTGTCTACAAAGAGTCCTGTGACATGATCTGTCTTCAAGTCTCTTAGCCATGGACATTAGCACCTGCTCTGGTGGAGGTAGCAGGGGAGCAGACTCTGTGTGGGACCTTGGTTGTAATTTAGCTTAGTGTGCTGGTTTTCTCAATTACTGGCTGTGCTAGCAGTAAAATTCTTCCATGGACAGACTCAGGACCTCTGGTTAGCCAGGATGTTACAGGCGGTGGAATTAGCTGTTGTTTTCTTCTTTCTTGGGACAGGGTTGTTCTTTTATTAGTTGCTGTAAAGGTTTGTATTGGTTGGCCTCTAGCCAGGAGATGGTGCTGGTGCTTTCAGGAGAGGATCAGCCACAGTAGTATAGGGAGGATACAAGCTTGCACTAGGGTTGCTTGGGTAAGTCCTCAGGTTTCTCAGGCAGTGGGCAGGGCTATAGAGCTCCCAAGAGACTATGTCTTTTTTCTTTGGCTACCAGGGCAGGTAGAGAAAGACCACGAGTTGGGGGTAGGACTAGACTAGATGTGTCTGAGCTGAGACTCTTCCTTGGGCAGAGCGTGCTGTGGACACTGTGGAGGATGGGGGTGTGTTTCTCAGGATAATAAAGTTATATTCCCAGGGGCATTATGGCTGCCTCTGCTGCATCATACAGGTCATCAGGGAAGTGGGGGAAAGCTGGCAGTGACAGGCCTCACCCAGCTTCCATGCAGCCAGAAAGGCCAGTCTCACTCCTGCTGTGCTTCCCCAACAGCACCCAGTTTATATCCAGGAAGGTGATGATGAGCAGGGATGGGAACTTGCCCCAGGCCACAAGCCTCCCTGCTGAGAAAGCAAGCAGGGCTCTCAGGCTTCCTCCCTCTCCACTGCAGCTTCTGTGCTCCCATCTGCACTTCCTGTTCACTCCCCACTCCCGGATTCTGCCCTGGAAAATTTACACTCAGTCAAAATTATTACAAATTTCCTCTGGAAGTTTCCTTCTCCCTGTGGTCTTTCCCCAGTTTCACTGGCAGCCCTCCGCAAGGACCCCTGCGAGATCAAGTCAGAAACAGGTTCCCTGGGCTTCCATGAGGACTGGGAGTGCCTATAGGGCTCGTCCTGCTGTTTCTTCTACTTTTATATTTTGCACAGCTATCTAAATTCATGTCACCTCTAGGTAAGGTTAAATCCTTCTCCTGTGATCTGGATTTTTAGGCTCCCCAGAGAGGATGTATGTTGGGAGGCAGACTTTCCCCACCTCACGCTTTGGGCACTCCCCGTGTTTCTGCTGTTTCTCAGAGTTTGCAGCAGCAAGCCACTTCTTTCAAAGGGTCTGTGCATTCTTTCCGTTTTCTTGGTATGTTCCTGCAGTAGCTCTTAGAGCAAAAGCTCACAATGTGAATCTCCACACACAGTTCTGTCCATCTGAGTGGGAGATGCAAGTAAGTCCTGCCTCCTATCTGCCACTTTTCAGGATCCATATATCAGTTTCTTATTATTTTCAACGTTGTAAAATGTAGCTACATAGTGATTAATCGTACCATAGCAGTGAAATCAGAAAGCACATAACCCAAATGTAACCCATGCAGTCTGTATTATTCAGCAAACTCATATAGGAGATTAAGCTCCCCGGTCAACCTATGTTCTGTCATTTTTTGATAAGAGCAAAATGAATTAAAGTAATAGAGCTGGCCTGATTATATTACCTGATTAGCAAGATGAGGCAGGTTAAAATTCCTCAGTGACGTATCGTGTATATAAATAGTGCTCTTGGCATAGAGTAATAGAAGTAGCTATAATCCAGATCAATCCAGGATCATGATCTCTTTTGATGGATAGATTTTAAGAATTTATAACATGATACTTCATAATAGTTCAATAACCACTACATCAATAGTGATATATACACGATATGTCACTGGGGAATTTTAACCTGCCTCATCTTGCTAATCAGGTAATATAAAGGGTTTGGTGAGTAAGGAGAATGATAGTAATGTTACAACAGAGTTACAACCTATGGAATGATAGTTTTAAGAATCAGAATTAGAAATCACAGTGAAATATTCTACTATGGTAAGGATAGATTAAAAACAAGCAAAAAAAAAACACATGCCATTCTGTTTTCACATATTTTAATTATATTTCTATATGGATTGAATAAAATTTATATTATTTCCTTCTAGATATTCTTTCACTCAGGAGACAAAAAACATTGTATTGGGCTTAGTTTTAAAAAAATATTCTCACAATCCACGAACTCTTCCTGTTAGTGCTTATTTGGAATCACTCACCTTAACACCTTGGAAAAAGGTCTTATGGAAAAAACTTGGAAAATGTTGGCTCATGGTAGCAGCAAATGTGATCCCCTCAGAGAACTCTGCTACAGAAATAGCTTCACCTGCAAATGTATAGAAACAGAAAGGCAATGTGAATTACTATTCTCTTGAATTGTAAAATTGTCTACAGGATAAGAAATGGAAAACATAAGCAGCCATCCCTCTTGAGAAAAAACAAAGAAATCTCCTGTTCTCTCTCTCTCCATACATAGCTCACCAGCATAGGGGATTGAAGATCTCCACACTTCTGGCTTTTGTTACATATTTGAGGAAATCTTTAAGTTATAGGTATCTAAAGTCCTTGCAGTACAGATTATTTGACAAAGAACCAACTCAACAGAGATCGTAGTTGTTCTGCTGCAAAGATAATTGGCAGGGAAAGCATAAAGACAAAATCTGCCAGCACTAGAACTGTCAGGAAAAGGTATATGACTGTGGCATATTGAAGATAGAGACATTATTAATAGAAGGTATAGGCAAAATAAAATGAGGAGGTAGCTCCAACAAATAAAAGAATATGAGAATTATTGTATTATGTGGAGTTACATAGAATACATTTTTCTTAGTGGTACAAAAATGTGTGAGCATCATGTATGATTACTTGGTTCAACAGGAATCAAATAATGCCCTAAAGCACCACTGAGTTTTATATACTTCCTGTTTTAAAGCAGAATTTTTTGCATTTCAATAGTTAGTATATTTCTACATGCATACATTAAACACCCACTCTTTGGAGGACCTCATCTCATGTCTCAAAAAGAGCAAAGGCAATTATAAACATATATATATATATATACACACACACACACAAACATATATATGTATCATAAATAGCATTGCATATATGTGTATATGTGAATATATGTATCATAAATAGCACTATATAATGCCAATATATATGTATGTGTGTGTGTGTGTGTATGTTTGTGTGTGTGTGTGTGTGTGTGTGTGTGTGTGTGTGTGTGTATGTATATATATATATATGATTCAGGGCATGGGAGCCCAAAAATTGGGGCTTAGCTCAGAATAGTTCTTGGCTTCACTCAGGAAAGATTTCTATGACAAGCTGTTGGTCTTAGCAACTTTTGTTGAAGCAGCAGTGTACAGCAGCAGTGAAGGTACTGCTCCTTGTGGAGCAGGGCTACCCCATAGGTAGTGTGCCCAGAGTAGCAGCTCAAAGGCAGTTCTGTAGTCATATTTATACCATTTTTAATTTCATGCAAATTGATGAGCAGATTATGCAGAAATTTCTAGGAAAAATGTGATATCTTCCAGGTTGTTGAGTTATTGGTATGGAAAGAGGTAGTAACTTCCAAGTGTTGCCATGCTATGGAAAATTGCCATGACAAACTGGCGGGCATATCTTACAGAGAGGTGCTTTCCCCTCTTCCCTGATTTAACTAGTCCTCAATCTAGTTTGAGTCCCACCTCCTACCTCACAAGCATGCATTATTTACAATAGAGTATTTAAATAGGTAGTTCAAAATCCGTGTGGTTATATCCCATGATCCCATGATAATAGAATAAAATAGTGCAAAGTAAAACAAAAGATGTCTACCCATAGACTGTAGAATAAGCTTCAGAAGATTTCAGAGAGGACCTGAAGTCCAAGGAAAAAACTGAATAGTAAATACTAATTTTCCTTATTGGCAATTGGCTTTTCCAGAGAGAGGACAAAAATTTTTCAAAACTCAAAGAAATATAGGGTAAAAATAGTGTTCCAGGGACTAGAAATAATTTATTAAGACTAGTGCTTAAGTTGGCATGGAGGATGAGATGAGCGATATTGGCAATATCTCAGCCATTGAGACTTACAGAGTAGAGCTGAGTTTCTAACTGGGCTGTTCTTGAGGGTCAAAGTGGTTGGGAGTTGGTCTTGTTTGTGAAATAAAAGGATAAAGTTTCTTTCATAACTGTAAGTTCATTTAAAGAAAAGGGTACTACAGCTGCATGAATAGAAATGGGCCAAATTACTTTGATTAATATTTCAAGAAGACAGAACACTTAATCTTTTCTTTAAAATGTTAATAAATGCTCATAAACCTGTGCTTTGTCAGCAATAAAAATGAAAATCACTAGTTAAAAGTGTTTGAAGAGTTCTGCTTTTTAGAAAACAAATAATACAAACTATGTTTCCTTCAAAATTTCAAAGGAAACATCTCAATTATGTGATGTACATGTTAATACTTTTGCATATAGCATATAAAAGTGAAGACTAACTAAAACATGTATGTCTGTTGATAGTAACCTGATGCAAAAGAAAAAAAGTAAAAGTTATTGGTTCCTTGGTACACATTCGCATGTGACTTAAGTGCAAATTTATTGCTAAAATGCAAATATTTTAGATGTTTACATAATAATGTGGCTTCACATGCTTATCTTAGTCACAAAGTATACCAGGACATAAATCCATTGCTTACTGTAAGATTGGAAAGCAGTGAAAATATTTCATAAAATATGGATTTGTTAGCAGAAAAGAGTTTTCTTTCTTACTTAATATTCGTTGCCTTCTAAAATATCCTTGGAAAAAATATGCAGATCTTTAGTAAAAACAAAATAAATTCTATAAAATTATATCAGTTTCAGATTAGGATATTTATCAATGTTTAAATTTGAGGGAGCGGAGACAACTCCATTTAAACTCTGATATTTCTAATTTTCAGAAATGGAAAGTAGATTGTGTCTTCAAATCATTTCTTCCTGTTCTCCTTTATATATTCAGTTAATGTAAAACAGAGGAGAGAAAATAGATGTCTCCAGAATAAAAGCAAACCAAAGTTTATCATATTTTAAAAGATCAAAGAGGAAGAGACAGAGGGAGGGAAGGAGGGAGAGAAGAGAAAGAGAGAGAGAAAGGGAGAAAGGGAGGGAGGAAGTGAAGAAAAGGAAGGAAGGAAGGAAGGAAGGAGGGAAGGAAAAACAAAACAAACAAAAAACACACGCACACAGAGAATTAGCAGCTGTGGTAAATATTTTTTATCTCTAATCCATAATAGTTTCCAAACACAGGGGTTTCAGGTATGAGCTCTTACCACAAAATTTCCACTAGGGGCAGCTTTGCATATGTGAGAACTAATGTATTACAAAATAAAAGTGTACAGTAAGAGTTTGCATATAGCATCTAAATTTTGATTACCAACTATTTGTTAGAGTGAGAAAAGGTTGGGAAATCAAGAAGTACCACAGATAATGAATTGTTTTGTTTTCTGAGAAGAAGTTGGTGCTAGAGAAAGGAGAATAAAAGGGAATACTTCTTTGATGTTTGTGCTGGCAAGCAGACCTTTCTGCTGGCTAACAATGTCTATACATTTTCAGTGTTTATATAAGGGAAACCTCGTAGAATAAATGAAGTGATGAGGACAGAAGAAACAAATGGAATAAAAGCAGAAAGTACAAATGAAGATTAGATTATTGAATATGAGTGTAAACATTTTATTTGTGGTAGCAATATTGATAACATTAATTCAAGATTATCAGATAACAATAGCAAGACTGTTATTTGAAAATAAAGAGTATCAGCAATAGAGCCCAGAAAATTTCATCTACCTCTGCAACCAGGAGTGGGTAAAATTTTTCTTGTATCATTACTTTTGTGTCATTATTAGTAAGTTAATATGAAAGTATGTGTAAATAAACCAACAATGGAATAGACTGACACATAGTCAGGATTCTAAAGATTTTAGTTTTGTCCTTTACTAATTTCCTAAAGGTCTAATGAACAGATTTCCATGGCAAAATTATTTTTCAAAAAGCAATGAAAACAGTGACAGTAGCAATCAGAGCAGCAGCAACAACAAATATCATTGCTGCTGCTGTGGCTCAGAACATGATAGCCCACAGCATGGCATCTTGGCATGCTGAGTAGTTTGTAGTAAAAAACATTAGAAGGGCCTTAGAAGTAAGGTCTTCCTGACCTCCTCCCATCCTCCTGTCTCACACCTCTCTTTCTCACACTAAAGAGAATCCTAGAAGCCAGAATTCTTATACCCCAAGGCCGGTCATAGAAACTAGAACTCCTCTCCCAGAAAGCAAGCCATAAAATGTAAAGAGATCACCCTCTTCCTTCTCCCTTTAAGAGTCTAATTCCAGAGAGGTACTGCCCATTTCTGGGGAGTGGAAGTGGAGAAGAGGTAATGCTACACAGGCAGACCAACAAGAATCTTTGTACAAAGGACTTGCTGGATTTCTCACCTCAGTGTATTATCATTACATTATACCCTTTGGTGCAACCCCATTTTTACATGGCTGACCCTTTTTTATATCCCACGTATAAAGTTTTCCCTGGAGTCTTTGAGTCTTCATTTCTGATCTTTCATGTCACATACAATTTTGATTAAATATATTTGATATGCTTTTCTTTTGTTAATACGTCTTTTGTTATAAGAGTGCTGGCTTTGAACCTTAATGGTGGTGAGAAAAGGCTTTGCACCTTTCTGCCCTATGCTGCCTACCTGTATACCTGACATTGGTGATTATTTTTGTGGAAAACAACTTGGAATGTCTGATTTAGATTCTTGTTTTCTTGCCATTGTTTTATCGATGTATATAAGGATTAAATCATTTGTGAGGTACTCATTCAAAAATTTTGTTTTTCTATTATTCTTAATAAAATTTGTGAAATGTTTGAACAATTAGACATTAAAATGATTTTTTTATTGGGAACATGGAGATAGTTTATCATCAAATACAGTTTTATACTTTGGCTTTTTACCAATTAGATATATTCTTTTCCAAAAACAGTTTTCATGTAACTCTTTTATTGATTTCTTTGTTAATATATTGGAATTATTTTACACATAATCATGGGAAAATCTTATAAAATAACTGCCAAATGTAAAACTAAATACCTTAGCTGAATTTTTTGACCTTTGTTTGTGGGTTTCAATTATGATACTTTTCTTTAAATATGATACTTTCTGTTGATAGATGATACATATCCTACCTATTTGAAAAGATATTTCCTTGCTAAAAATTATTGACATTTAACAGTCTTCCATTGTCTCCCTGCTTATCACAATAGTGACAGAAATTAGCATGTAGTAACATGTTTAGGAATTAAAACTAGGATTCTAATGTATGGAGAAAACTGTGCAAATATAGATATATTACAAAGAATACCCTAAATCCCTATTATATGCCAAAGATCTAGAAATAGTAATGATATCTTAAGGATCTATCAAGGCTTTGTTGTATAAAGAATGAAGTAAAAATAACTTAAGAAAATTATTATTTAAGCTATTGGAAAATTACTGAATCTAAAACAGATTTAAAATTGATTATGTTGGCTGTCTACATTAGCTTGATTAATTCAATATGATATATTACTCTCTTTACTAGTCATGTAAATATGTCAGCAATGTTTACATGAAATCTGAAAAGTGTTTTATGAGACATGTTAAAACCATTAAAACTGCAACTTATATGCCTTCTTTTAGATACTCAATCATTTATAACCTCTAATTTTCAGATGAAGTTGAGTCATAAGCAAAGAACAAATCTGTCTTAACAGTGCTTATTTTAGTAATTAGCTATTATAAGTGACTTCTTACCTAATCAGTACACAATTGTTTAAAAAATGAATTTTCTATCATGTGCTAAAATAGAAAACACCCATTTTACTATCATGCTACCAAACATATGTTAAATAAAATTAAAATTATTTTGTAAAATGTAGTTTATGTTTTCAGTTAAAGAAATTTTGGTAAATTGCTTTTTGCGCGAATAAATTTAAAATATAATCTTGATTAACACAGACAAGGACTTACACTTAATAATTTATCCAGGTCAATCATATGAAATAATCGTTTCACATATATGAGGACATGAATACATTTTAATTTTCATATGAAATAAGATGCAATATATATGAGGATAATTTTAGGTGAGAAGTTGGTATCACCTATGACTGTCTATTGACATATTGGATATTCATATATTGGATATTGCCAATTGACAATTGTCTATTGAGACATTGGATGTTATCTATTGTCTATTGTCCTCTGTTGGTTTAAATTATATGATACTTTTCTTTGAAAATGCTATTAGACAATATCCAGTATATTGATAGACAATTGTCCAACAGACAATATCCAATATATCCAATATAGTCTATTGTCTATTGGACAATTGTCTACACTGGATAACTGTCTATTGACATATTGGACATTGATATATTGGATATTGTCTATTGACAATTGTCTATTGATATATTGGATTTGTACAAATGTATGTCAGTGAGGCCAGCAGAATAAAAGCATCATTTTTCTCAGAGAGAAACACTGTGATTCTGGGTTGCATATAATACCCAACATCCTAGAAAATTAAATGTTAGATGTTTTCCAAATCATCCTTGTAAAAGTAACATCCTTCAATAGTTATGTTCTAGATGCTTGGGTGAAATATATATGCATATATCATGCACACACATGTAAATACATATATATATATGCATACACTTATATCCAAACACACACCTACACTTTTATTTGTAACAACTACCACCCTGTAAAGCTGCCATAGCTAACAATTTTTTCCATTACATATTATATTTATCTTTAAACCTAAGGAAGCAATGAAAGGAAATTTAAAATTGACTCATTTTCATATATATGAAACGATTAAATTTCTATTTCTCAGCATATTAAAATTATCTCCTTCGGCCTCCATGACCAAAACCATGTGTTTACTTGTGCCTTCATAAGGACTTCTCAGCTCTTTGAGCTTCCTTACCTTACTCCCTTCCCTAACCAAAGTCAGTGCCCCTAAGGACATCTCTTTAGACTGATTCTCTACTGACTGCACCCTACCTTGGCAAATGTGTCCACACTTATCATTTCAAATACTATTTCTGGTATTTTTTCCAGCTTTTGCTTTACTCACATCAATCTTTTCTTCTCACTATCACCATCATCTTTCAGGTTTATCTCTGTTTACAACCAGAATATGTCAATATCTGAATATTGACAAAAACACAAAATGAGATAAACTTGTTAAGATTGACACAATACATATTCCCATATCAGTTTTATATGAATGACAATTAAATTTTTTTGTTTCAGTCTCTATATCATTTAGCTGATGGCTTGAGCTTTTACTTTAAAATTTTCTCCAAATATACTATTTTGGGTGTTCTTTTGTTTCAACAAAATGATTTATGTACTTTCAATATATCTTCAGTAACTCCTAGATTAAATAATCTTGGCATGCAAATTTTATTTTTTAAATTCTTACAAATTCAATTTGTCTTATAAAATCACCAATGCAGAATATGAAATTAATTCCAAGGTAGAAATTTATTATTGGAGAATCCAAAGCTTCAGCTTCATATGTGATAGCAGGAATGACTAAACCTCTGCATATAATTTTGCATACAGAATTTTTTAATAATCTACGTTGTACTGAAAGACATAATCCATGTTTCCTGATACAGAATGTTCTTTTTTTTCTCAAATTATATGTACTTTTTTAAATCTAAAATGTCTAAGTTTACTTAGACCTAGTTGTGTGCTAAAATCCAAACAAAAAGAAAGGATTCACTGCTCTGTCACTAAAATTATTATTGCTACCATTGATTCAAAAGTTGGAGACATTATCATGAATAGTAATTTTCAATTTAAAAAACTTTCAAGTTAGGTGTTATTCAATATTGGGGTATGGCCAAAAAAAATTCAAAGTCTTCTGTAAATGTGTGCCTTTTAAAAAAGTCACTATTAGTAAGATACATAAACAAGGCAAAGAGCGATAAAAATGGAAGTAAATTATTATTTTCTAGCATAAAATGTTTTGAAATATAATGAGTTAAATTTTTTATTTAGCCGTATACCTGATAAGAAAAATAAGCAAGAAGTAACAGAAATAACAGTACTGAAAACCATTTACTTATAAATAATAGTGATGTGCTAGTAGAGAATAAACATTAACACTACCTTGTAATCATGTCTTGTAGGTATTGGTTTATGGAGATCTACTTTAATAATTGTTCTGGCTAATTTCTGTTACAGAAACTAATTTCCTCCTTTTTTGATTATTGTATTGAGAAAGCTGAATGAATAGGCTGTTTGCCAGGCTGTTGGCATTCAATGTAGAGAAAGTGTGTACAACTGTTTCCATCAAATATTAGACTGCAGAGATTTTGTTTGCAGGGCCCTTATCTAATCTATTCATCTATCTTATCTATCTATCTATCTATCTATCTATCTATCTATCTATCATCTATCTATCCACCTACCTATCTACCTGTCTCTTGAGCCGTGGAGCTATCTATGCCATATTTTTATAAATAATCTGAGGAAATATGCTTCAGGTTGGAATTGGCTATTTTGAAATTTTTACTCAGTGTTTTAAATTTTAAATTTTAAAGTTTATACAGATGAAACACACCCATCCCTTCAACTTATTACACCCTTTTCAAAATATTTGAATGACATACAGTGCAGTTTCAATACTTGTTAACTGGGTATAATTCAAACCACACTTGTCAGCAGCCATGCCTTTATCCACCTTACCATTTTGTACTCCACACAGGAGAACACTCTTACAACCTTTGGAACTCCAGAATGAGGTGTCATCAGGATGAAGAAAATGACTAGGACCTGCAGTGGGATCAGGAGTAGGACCTATGCAAGATTTCTGAGAAGCCGAGAAAGGTATGCAGAAGCCAAGATCAGAAATTATGGATTATTTAGGCATTGAAGAGGAGTTATAGGAAGTCAGGTAAATAAAATTTTTACTAAATTCAGAAGGATTAGTGTACTCAGTCATTTAATCCTGTTTGAACATTTGACTCAAGCCAACCTACCCCCACTTTGTTTTCCCGTAATCTTAACAATTTTCAGATAATTGTTTCCTGCCCCAGTGTGTCAGAGTCTAAAGATAGAATCCCAGCCTTAAAATTAAAACAAAGCATCTGTTGCAAAGAATAAAGCTGCTTTTTCCCCCTCAAATAGTTAAGATCCATAGTAAAAAAAAAAAAGAAAAAACAAATTTGGAAAGTTGTTTTGTTTCTCAAATTAGAAGTGCAATAATATTACTGTCTTATTTGAACAAAAAGTATGTGATCTATCAATAATTTTCACTTAGCTTACTATTTCTTTATAAATTAAACCAATCCAGACATTTTCAAAATGATTTCAACGCTATTTACTTTGGATAAATCAGTCACAGTGGAAATAAAAAACTGTCTCTCAACTATTTTAGATACCTCATAGAAGTGAATTCATGCAATATTTGTTCTCCTGTGACTGGTTGGTTTCGCTTAGCATAATGCCCTTCAGGTTTACTCATGTTGTAACAAACGGCAGTTATTTTAGTTAGTTTGGGCTACTATAATAAGATACCATAAACTGGATGGCTTAAACAACAGCATGTATTTCTCAGAGTTCTGAAGGCTACCTAGTCCAAGATCAAGGTATTTGCTGGTTTTGTTTCTAGTGAGGGTCCTCTTCCCAGTCTACCATCTTGATGTATCTCTACATGGCAGAGAGGAAAAGGAAGCAAGCTCTTTCCTGTCTCTTATAAGAGAACCATCTTTATCATCTAATCACCTTCCAAAGCCTCCATCTTCAAACACCATCACCTTAGGGATTAGGGTTCAAACATATGGATTTTGGGATGACACAAACATTCAGTCTATAGCAGCAAGATTTCCTTTTTTAAGGCCAAAAAATATTCCACTGTATGTATATACAGCATTTTCTTTATCCGTTCAGCTGTAGGTGGACATTTAAATTATTTCTACATCTTGATTCATGTGAATAATGACTGAAATGAACATGGTAATGCAGACATCTCTTTGAGATCCTGTGAGTAGAGAGACATGGAGAATTGTTATTCAATTGATATAAAATATCACATATAGAATCATTAAGTTCTGTAGATCTACTGTACAACATTATGCCTACAGTTAACAGCACTGTATCATATTCTTTAGAATTTATTGAGGGTAGATATCATGCTGTTTACTTACCACAATTTAAAAAAAAATTCTTAGTTTGCCCTTAAACTTCTCCAGGTCCCATTTTAAACCACGAATGCACACAATCTTACATATCAGTATACAAGACAGAGGTCATATTCATTTAAATTATAACCACACATTACTCATGAGAGGAGACACAGCTTGCTAATCCAATATTTCCTCTCTACTTTCTCCTGGTTCCTGATGTTGACATAACAACCCCAGTCCTTTCATCATAAGCAATACGTGAATACGAGGAAGGGGTGAAACTGCGTGCCTTCACAGGATTACTAACTTCCCGCAGATTTAGAAAGTGCTGCTGATCACCTGAGAGTTCACCAGGTATATAAAAGCGGCATCAATCTCTGCCACTTTTAAGTTGCCACTTTTAAGAACCTCACTATTGACAAGGCCACAGTCTTTTCTCAGAGATGTATCTGCCTGATACTTAGCAGCACATTCATCTATGCATTCAATTCATAAAACATTCATAGAGTGAATATTCTGTATTAGGTATCACTTTAATACTGGGCATAGAATCATGAACCAGATAGTGAGGGTATTGCTCATGTTAAGCATTCAGTTAAGAGAGAGTTGGCCGGGCGCGGTGGCTCACGCCTGTAATCCCAGCACTTTGGGAGGCCGAAGCAGGCAGATCATGAGGTCAGGAGATTGAGACCGTCCTGGCTAACACGGTGAAACCCGGTCTCTACTAAAAATACAAAAAATTAGCTGGGCATGGTGGCAGGCGCCTGTAGTACCAGCTACTAGTGAGGCTGAGGCAGGAGAATGGCGTGAACCCAGGAAGGCATAGCTTGCAGTGAGCTGAGATCGCACCACTGCACTCCAGCCTGGGCGACAGAGCTAGACTTCGTCTGAAAAAAAAAAAAAAAAAAAAAAAAAAAAAGAGAGAGAGTTAAGATGAGTGTTATATTGAATAATGAAACAATATTGTATACAAAATGTACATACTTACACTGGGTTGCAAGAGGATACTTTCTTCTTTTTTTATTATACTTTAATTTCTGGGATACACGTGCAGAACGTGCAGGTTTGTTACACAGGTACACACGTGCCATGGTGGCTTGCTGCACCCATCAACCCATAATCTACATTAGGTATTTCTCCTAATGCTATCCCTCCCCTAGCCCCCCACCCCTCAACAGGCCCCTGGTGTGTGATGTTCCCCAGCCTGTGTCCATGTGTTCTCATTGTTCAACTCCTACTTATGAGTGAGAACGTGCAGTGTTTGGTTTTCTGTTCCTTTGTTAGTTTGCTGAGAATGATGGTTTCCAGCTTCATCCATGTCCCTGCAAAAGACATGAACTCATTCTTTTTTATGGCTGCATAGTATTCCGTGGTGTATATGTGCCACATTTTCTTTATCCAGTCTATCATTGATGGGCATTTGGGTTGTTTCCAAGTTTTTGCTGTTGTGAAAAGTGCTCCAAAAAAGATATGTGTGCATGTGCCTTTATAGTAGAATGATTTATCACCCTTTGGGTAATGAGATTGCTGGGTCAAATGGTATTTCTGGTTCTAGATACTTGAAGAATTGCCACACTGTCTTTCACAATGGTTGAACTTTTTACACTCCCAGCAACAGTGTAAAAGCGTTCCTGTTTCTCCACATCCTCTCCAACGTCTGTTGTTTCCTGACTTTTTAATGATCGCCATTCTAACTGGTGTGAGATGGTATCTCATTGCGGTTTTGATTTGCATTTCTCTAATGACCAGTAGTGATGAGCTTTTTTTCATGTTTGTTGGCTGCATAAATGTCTTCTTTTGAGAAGTGTCTGTTCATATCCTTTGCCCACTTTTTGATTGGAGTTGTTTATTTTTTCTTGCAAATTTGTTTAAGTTCCTTGTAGATTCTGGATATTAGCCCTTTGTCAGATGGGTAGATTGCAAAAAATTTCTCCCATTCTGTAGCTTGCCTATTCACTCTGATGATAGTTTCTTTTGCTGTGCAGAAGCTCTTTAGTTTAATTAGATCCCATTTGTGAAGGACCTCTTCAAGGAGAACTACAAACCACTGTTCAAGGAAATAAGAGAGGACACAAACAAATCGAAAAACATTCCATGCTCATGGATAGGAAGAATCAATATCGTGAAAATGGCCATACTGCCCAAAGTAATTTATAGATTCAATGCTGCCCCAATCAAGCTACCATTGACCTTCTTCATAGAATTAGAAAAAAAATACTTTAAATTGTATATGGAACCAAAAAAGAGCCCATATAGCCAAGACAATCCTAAGCAAAAAGAACAAACCTAAAGGGATCATGCTACCTGACTTCAAACTATACTACAAGGCTACAGTAACCAAAACAGCTGGTACTGGTATCAAAACAGATATGTAAACCAATGGAACAGAACAGAGGCCAAAGAAATAACACCACACATCTACAACTATCTGATCTTTGACAAACTTGACAAAAACAAGCAATGGGGAAAGGATTCCCTATTTAATAAATGACGTTGGGCAAACTGGCTAGCCATATGCAGAAAACTGAAACTGGACCCCTTCCTTACACCTTATACAAAAATTCACTCAAGATGGATTAAAGACTTAAACATAAGACCTAAAACCATAAATACCATTCAGGACATAGGCATGAACAAATACTTCATGACTAAAACACCAAAAGCAATGACAACAGTTTTTTTTTTAAATGGAGTCACTCTGTCACCCAGGCTGGTGTGCAGTGGCATGATCTTGTCTCACTGAAGCCTCCACCTCCCAGGTTCAAGAAATTTTCCTGCCTCAGCCTCCCGAGAAGCTGGGATTACAGGTGCCCACCACAACACCTGGCTAATTTTTGTATCTTTAGTAGAGATGAGGTTTCACCACGTTGGCCAGGCTAGACTCGAACTCCTGACCTCAAGTGTTCCGCCTGCCTCGGCCTCCCAAAGTGCTGGGATTACAGGCATGGGCCACCATGCCCAGCCAAGAGGATACTTTCTGAAGCTGAAATCTGAGTACTAATAAATATCTATTCATCTAAAATTCAGGGGAAGCATTCAAGCACAAGGAACAGCCATTGCAAAGGCCAAAACTGTGGAAGTAGCACTCTATCATTAATGAAACTAGAGATGTCCAGGATGGCTGGAATGTGATAAGCATATGAAACTCCTCTATGCCTTTCTCTCATTTGTCCTCATGGCCCACTTTTAATACAGACATTGCTGTGGGAACCAGCTTTGCACAGGTAAAACCTGTCTCAGCTCTCTGCCTTACTACGCCACCCCCTCGAGCTTTCTTCTCCAATTGTATAGGGATGACTTGGCATTGGACCCCTGGGAGAAACCTTGACCCTCTGGCATGTGGAAGCAGAGGTTTGGGACCCAGTGAATGGGAACCAAACACTGTGTTCATTCCCTCTGCTTTCTTAAAGTAACAAACAAACAAAAAGAACCTCTTTACTTTTATCTACTTATTGTCACCAAGCTTTATCTCATTCCAGGCATGGGGAATAAAAAGACATTTTGTGGTGCAAAACTATGTCTCAGTCCATTTACTTTTTCACTTGATGCTGTGTCCTCCAAATAACTGATTTACAATCTGCTGAATTTTTCCAAACTTTCAAGTTTGGAGTATTGTACAGAAGAAAAAAGCAACAGACCTTTAATATTTCAAGTTGTCTGTCTGCCTCGGGTGAATAATGTACATACCTTTCTGTCAGAGTAATGGAGAGGTAGATATGCTATGCCACAGTGGACAGGTAAATACAAATGATCCTTTCGCTGCCTTCTTTCTGTTTCTCTTGTCAGCAGGCACTGGCACTCCAGCACAGCAGATACTTGAGGAACCAGGTGCTGGGGTAGAAGATGTCAGGAAGAGTAGAGCTATAAAGCAATCTAGAGAATGGGAAGATCCTGTGAGATGATTAGTGGGAACATTTGGTGTGTAGCCTTTTGAGAATTTAAGAGATTTCTGGTTCTTTCCCTTTCTCCGAGAAACTCAGAATTCTTGGGATTCAACACTGATTTTGAATAATAGCAATATATTTCAATCACTGTGTTAAGCAGCCTATATGCATGTTTATATATATATATGCGTATGTGTGTGTGTGTGTATATATATATATACACACACACACGCATATATATATACACACACATACATAAACACATATATATCTGTGTGTGTAGGATATGTAGGATATATACATATTATATATATTTTACATATATAGTTATATACGCTTATATATATATAAAGTAGGATATAGATAGATCAATAACATTTAAAAACATAGCATGAGTCAGGCATAGATTTATAAAAAATAAAACTCAAATTCAGCAGGTATATAACAAAATATTTTATTGGAAATATTTTTTACCTTAGATCACAATATTGGTTGACCAGCGATCTATCAGTAAGCTCATATCATATAGGACTTCTTCGTGATGATTCTGAAGAAAAATATAGAAATATAGTAAATGTGTTTATTAAAGTCATGAGTTTGTGATTATACAGAAAAATACAAAAAAGCTAGAAGTTGAAATTACAATTTTATGGTAGGATATGAGATTGCATAATTAAATTATTCAGTCTAGGTTTAGACAGACTTGTTCTAGCATTGTGTCTTAACAGTATCAAATGCATGGTCCATCACAAACACATAAAGCTGGTATCCATTTGCAGGCAGACTCTATGGGTGGCTCTGTTTTTACTCTTTATATTGGTCAATTTCAATGAGAGATCATTAGTTTCGCTTTTGTGAGAAAAACTATCAGAAAATTCACTTCTCCCAACAGGACTTAACCAAGACATTCTAATCATAATCCTTTATTTCAAGAAATGTCACTAACAAGGCAAGCCAGGCATCCATTGCCACCCTGGTAGATCTTTATGTGGATAAAACTTGCCTTTAAGCTGCAGACAGCTCTTTAATCTTATAATGGTTCAGAATTGTCCAACTGTATTCTGTTTTTAGACTTTTCACGGGAAGAGAAATCCACCCTGAGTGTCTTATTTTATTAACCTATTTGGCTGGATAGATCAAAGTTTTAAAAATAATAAGACCAGGATTTCCATTACTTTATATAATGATACAATTCTCCTACAGTTCTTGTGATTTTAGTACCTACAGAGATTAGAACATTTTTATTTTATATTTGGCATTGTGTAAATTTAAATCACAGAGTTGTTCTCATTATTATATTTGAGATGTAAATTCTTAAAAACAAATGAAAATATACCTATAAATCTAACGTTTCTTTAAATACTGCAAGCAAATAATAGCTTAAATAAAATAACATCTAAAAAGGTCACATTTTTATGACAAAATCTAAGTTTTTAGTGACTCCTTTTTTCTATATTACTATTTTTTACACCACAAACATACTAGAATATCACAATTGTGTCACTTCTCATGGCTCTTTACTTCATTATTTTATCTCCCCTTTTTCTTTTCCTTTTATTAAAGCAGCAGAGGTCTGTTTGGAGCCCCCCTGCTTGGCACTGCTGCAGGGATTTAAACTTCAGCAGGTTCAAAGAAAACAAGAATTATAAGGAGAAGCCTTGGATTTATATAGATGCTTTTGAAGAGCTCAAAGTATGAGAAACCTTGCATGGTCAGGGTTAAGGTTACAAAGGGTAGACCATGCAATCGCTGTGTTCTTGTCAGCCTCTCATCCTTCTGCATGATTCCAAAAACACCTTACTGAAAATGGTAGGTATATTATCAGTTAGAGTCCCATTAGGAAACACAGTTCTACTCATATTTTTCAAGAGTCTTTATGAAATATTTACAGAAGTAAGGGCCAGGTTAAGGGAAATAACAAAGGGCATTGAGACATTCAGAGTCTAACATGTCTTTCCTGGCCTTACACTGGAAAAGATAACAGGAGGAAATCATGCTACTGAAGCGCAGTGAAAGTTAGCGCTGTGGACGAAGGGCTGGCCAAGGGGTGCCGTAGTGATCAGTAGATATAGGCACAATCTTAAAATGCTGCCCGCAGCAAGAAGGGTGGATAAGGGCGATTCCTCCTCCTTTCCTCTGATCTCTCTGTAGCTCCAAATTAGCTCACCTAACTGGAAGCCAATCTATATGGAAGCCTGAGTGATGCAGTCTGTAGAGGTCCTTCTATTAGGACACAAAGAATAGAGAATGAATGTGAAACAAGGCAACAACAACAACAAAAAAAGGCACAGTCATGACTTTTGCCATTTCGATTTTTTTTCCTTTGCTCAAAGTGAGTAATTTGTATTAAGTAGAGGGAAGACAAGATTTTAATAAATCATAATATTACTGTGGGATGATGTCAATTAAGTCATCCTGCCACTAAAATATAAATTGTAACATTAGCCAGCTCCAGAACTCATCGTATGAGGGAAAGAAAACTGGGGGAAGAAAGAGGCTGAAATAGCCAAATAATAATAGATAAAGGAAGTGCATAGCTGCGAAGATGTGAGGAAATGTACAACACATGGAACATAAGAACACAGGTAGAAATAGTCTTTTTATTTTGCTTAATTATATTTTGTTCATGGTTCTTATAATTTTCTATATTTAGGTACTGATTTCTTTGAAATTATATATCCCCTACATACCCAAAGTAGTACGGTTCCAGTGGCTGATCATGTTGCATACAATAGAAGCATTTCAATGCATCATTTATCTAATCTTTCAGACTCATTCTTCAGTATTACAGGAATGGTATAGCCCTTCAACTTTATGACCATAGGCTAGTATTGAACACAGATTTCAATCAGTCAATCAATCAATTTGTTTGATTCAGGAATTTATGCTAACATATGAAATTACAATGCACAATTCGATAGATACCACCCTGTTTAACTCTATATTAGCCTTATTCCTGTAACCCTTTTGGGATCCTTTTCCACTAATACTCCCCCAACTTAGCTGATAAACATGGAACGATTTCACTGTTCCTTTGGTGTGTATGTATGTTCTTTGGGAGCCAAATTCATTTTTTTTTTCCTCTGGACCATGTTGGAGTTTAACTTTTGTTAAATTTTCTGGACCTAGTGATTGTTCTTAAAGAACACAGAGTTCTCCTTGCAAATAAACTGACTGTGATAAAATCATGGCATGATCTTTATTGAAGGAAAGACTTGTTCCTCATGCAGGGAAGGATGGGCCTGGAATCCCGGTGTTCAGATTCGTCAGCACCTGCCAAATCTCAACTCCTTGTATTTCAAAGCCCTTTTGTTTTCCATCTACTATTTGAGACCTAGCATTTAGCTGACCTGCTGCTGGGCAGCCTGCATAGTAAGATTTTTGCTTTTTAATGATGTATTAGCGAAAAACTGCTTTAGATTTGAAATACTTATCAGAAAAGCCATATATCGTAAAAAGGACCAATGCAATTCTTAAAATAAAATCATAAAGTAAAATAAAAGATGCATTTTTTTCTCATAGTGGTTTTGATTTTCATTTCTCTAATGACCAAGGATGATGAACTTTTTTTCTTATGTTTGTTGGCCGCATAAATGTCTTCTTTTGAGAAGTGTCTGTTCATATCCTTTGCCCACTTTTTGATGGTGTTGTTTGTTAATCCTGATAGTTTTATGTTGGGCTAGTAATAAAGCCTAATGGTGATTGAATGAGTTTAGAGAAGAAAAATGCACTGGGCACTGAAGTAATATTATGTTATAATTCTATCATTGGCATATAACTGTTATGCATATATATGCACATATATCTGATTGCAAAAATTTATAATAAAATAAAGATATGAACTTAATCTCAAGGATGTGATAATTCAGGAAAAGTTATAATTCAGTAAAAAGTAGGAGCAGCCCTCTTAACCTAGTTTTCTTAATAACAGAGCCGAGGTCAAAACTTATGTGCTAATATTTTATTAAGATGTGGTGGTCTCAGAAAGACAAGAATAAGACAAAATGAAAAGTGTTTCAGTAAACTTGGTCATAGTTCTGCAACACACATACAGGACTGCTTGGCCATGCTGGATATATCCTCAAAGACCATTTAAAACAAATGGATCTTGGTATGGTCCATATGGGTGAGGAAGGGTAAACAATGTATTTGTTTGCACCTCGCATTTTTTGGTCTCTCATTGTCAAATCTACCCCCCCCACCAGTACTGTCCAGCCAGAGAATGGAATATTCCCAGGACTCTATCTCTATATAATCTGAGGCTTTAGTTGCTGAAAATAGTTGCTAAAATTATTTTTTGTTTGTTTCGTTCTTTTAATACCTGAGAACAGAAATAGGAAGAAATACCCAAGTGAATTGTCTTAGTTTTAGATATAATTCTGAATCTGTTTAAAGCTGGACTCTAGCGCACAGTTTCTATCACACAATTTGTAGCTGACGATGCACAATTTTACAAACGGATAGATACGCTATGCAGTTCACTTTTCAATCACTTGTCTTCACTAGGGCAAGTTTATGAAAACATGAGGAGACGTGTGCCAGAGAGAAAAATTCTTGGCTCTAAAATGTTCTAGAATTGTAGAATTCCAAGCTGCGTCTCTCCAATCAGGCCTTTCCAGTGACTCTTTGTACCATCTTTATACACTATACATACTTAAAGCACCATCAAATATGCTGAGTAATGTGGACTAAGTGCTTTTTCACACATCTTTGAGTGACTACAGAGCTTCTGACTCTGTCTCAAAGCAAACACCTTCAGAGGCACCCAGTAAATGGGGCTTAGCTACACTCCTAAATGTGATATACAATGTCTGTAAAATCCAAAGACCTTCACCAAACACTGATCCTCTTTCATGAATATAGGATGTGAAAGGTGCAAAAACTCATCCTTTATCATAGAAAGCATATCCCACCATATTACAGACTATTTGAATTTTAAAGATTTCAAGATTTCGAATAACCATTTAATCTCTGCTAATTTTATCTGTCCACCTCTGGCACACATTTTCTTTCTATATTGTTTAGGATATTTGATACTCCATACTCACTGGATCCAATTAGCATGATGTAATTAGTACATTGCGCCAGTGGAATGTCTAATGAAATGTCAACATTACCAAAGTCCCTGCAGAATAAATTGTAAAGAGAATAAGAAAATTAACATAGCTCTCAGGCAAGACTATTAGTGTGTACTACTGCCTTTGTCAGGTAACATTTAATTGCTTTCAATTCTCTCTACTGATGGAATATCAAGATGTAATAATTCACCACTCAATACCATGTTGTTCTGTCCTCAGTAAAAGATACCATATCTGCAGTAGCAGTTGCAATTGGGGCTGCCCTTTGGTTAAGTTCAGAGTTGTCCACCACCACCCATTTGTTATCTGCAGAGGGCAGACAGACAATTGAATATGAGGTATAGAGAGGACAGCTACACTGGCAACCTCCAAGTCTTTATTAGCATCACTAATCACTGTACATCATCATGCAATGTGTTATTGCTTCTAAATTACTATGTTGGCAAAGTGGGGAGAAGTGTCTGTTTTTATGTGGTCTTTCTGACCCTAATATGCTGTAACCTATAAATTAGTGACCAAAGGTTTGAGAATTTATTAATATATCAATCCCAAGTTATTAAATTTTGACTCAGAAGAAATAACCACGGTTGTGTTGGTGGCCCCTTCTCTTCAACTCTAAAAAAAAAAAAAAAGTAAAATTTTTAGCATATGGCCTTAGTAACTCCAACTCTATCTGGAAAACCATGATGGCATTTTTTGTTGTGTGGTGTCAGTGTCAGAAAAGACAACTTATCAAACATTTCTTACAAAGTCTTGACATTTTTTAAAATTATGCTGGTAAATCCATGCATGTCCTTTGGCATTACAGGGCTCTTCCTCAAGGGGACCTGATCTCTACCTGTGGAAATGACCTATGGATTTGTGAACTAGAAACTGAGGGAAGAACCATACTTTTCCCTTTTTTCCATGTTTCCCGGCTTTAATGAAAGGTACAATTGGTATGCAAAAAACTGTATATAATTAATATAAGTGTACAGATATGTCCAAACCCACAATTTGGTGGGTTTGGACATATCTGTACACTTGTGTTACCACCACCACAATCCAGATAATCAACATGTCTATTCTCTCCCAAAGTTTTCTTGTGTCTTTTGTGTGTGGGGGCGGGGGTGTGTATGGTAAGGATATCTGACATGAAGTCTGCCCTCTTAAAAAATGTATGCTCCCCAGTTCTTGAGCTTTTATTGATACAAATCAAGTCACACCATAGTTGGCTATCCATCTCTTTTCTAGGAAAACCATGATCTATTTAGTCATTATCACAAAGCCTTGTGGATCAAGTTATCTTGATGGCCTCTCAGGAATTGTTGCCCATTAATAGTAATGCTTTCCTCGTTGATTCTGAAGGGTAAGTTTTGCCATCTGGTTTTGGCTATGCCATAGTCCCACCATGTCTATTGATTATTAGGTGGTCCATGGCATTATCCTCCCACTGAAAACTCCACCATGCAGAGAATGATTACCATTGAAATTCTAAGAAATGTTGGAGTCCCCCTTATCAGTGGATTCCCTACTAACTTAGTCCTGTTCTTAGGAAACTCTAAGAACATAACCAGGCGATTTAAGGTCACCTGGTCTTGTATGAATCCATTCTAGCATTTCCACCTCTTTCTACTTTTGTTCCTTTTTCAACACTCTGGTTCTCTTTCACAGTTTTTGAAAACCTTTATTGAGGTTTTTCAATGAAGAAGTTCATTGAAAACTGGTATAGATACCACATAGGAATTTCCAAGACTATAAAAAGAAATGAATTTTTTAATACAGTTGGTCCCATGAAAGTATCAGTAGTCTGGTATATTGTTTTCAACATTTTTTTTTGTGGCAAATTAAGCTTTTAATATCCAAGTGGAAAACCATTTTAAGAGATCTAGTTGAAGGAGTCAGAATCGGAAATGTGTTTAAGTTTTGGGAATGTACACCAAGTTGGGTGGTATTGATGTGGTTCCAGGAAACAACTGCAGTTGAGACCCAGTAAGCTGTCTGTATAAGAAGGAGGAAGGAAAACATTGGCAAATAAGTTCTCAGAGAAAAAACAGACTAAATAAATTCTCATGTCAAGGCCCTAACCAAATGGAAAGGGGTTTAAGGCAATTTTCCAAGCTGTACAAAGAGAGAGATAATCAGAAAAACAAAGCCAAAGTTCATTATAAAAATGAAGCAAAGTAGCAGAGAAACATGGATTTTTATTAGGAGTATCTCCAGTTGGCAACGGTTTGTAAATCTAATCTAGAACAAAAATAAGAATAGTATTTTTGGACTCTGCATATTCTTGATAATGAAAATTATAAACCTTTTTTAAGTTAGACACAGAATTGGCAATTCTAAGGCAAGACTAACATATTTTGGCAGGTCTAAGAAGAAAGAAGCTAAGAAAATAATTCCTGCTCCTTAGTTCTGCTTGTGCGTGTGTTTTTTTGAAACAAAATTAAGTGAAATTATTAGAAAATTAGAACATCTTGCCTAAATTATAAGTATGCACTTTTCTAGTAATTCCTTTGATGTTTAGATCGACATGTTATGCTAATATGTAAAATAACTTCTAAATAAATGTCACCTCTACCATTTTCCAGGGCCTATGAAGAAAGAAATGTAATATTAACAATAATTTTCTGTTTTTAATAAATGGTTAGCTAAACGTATACCAATCTGAAAAAAAATGCTTATTATATAATTTAAAGGTTTCTGGAGGTTTTGAAGACATAAGATACCAAACTAATATGAGAATATTTATACAATCATTATAAAATTAAAGAAAATACTAACACATAATTTTCAGAATTTTGGCTTGAAATGTCTTGAGTTTTATGTTCAGATATTTTGAACCTTTAAATAAATAATTAAAATAATGGTTTCCATCTTAAATCAACAGAAAAACTTAAAGAAGCCTAAAATTTTATAATTAAAGCTATTAGTATTTCAGAAAAACATGGATCAATATGATCAATTTGGTTTCGTCTTCATGTAGGCAGAATATAGTAATTCTTATTTGGTGTTAGTGAAGATGTTATGAAGGCACATATGCTTCTGAATGTTTTCTCTTCTGTTGCCTACATTATAGCATTAGAGAATGCCAGGCCAAGTGTGACATCCTCAGCAAAATTGAAAACCAGGGTGTCTTAGGTCAGTCAGAATCAAATACATAACTAAGGGATTGAGAGATTTAACAAATGAGCTGAGACAGAGATGGACACTTTGAGGAAAACATATTATTCCACCTCTTCACTTTTCTGGGTTGCATGCACTCTAGCTTATTTCCTATGACTGCTCTTTTAAATGATTATTCAGCTCTGCCTAATTTCATGTTGAAACAATTCATAGCATTTTTTAATTCCAAAACAATGTTTGCCTTTCTATTAGTTCTCTTGGGCTCTTTTTCAAGTATGAGTTTTAAATAGTCTCTGATACTTTGGTTGTTATTGAATGCTTTGTTAATACATTTTATCATTTTATAATCATTATTTAAAGGTCTTATCCAAGAAGGGTTCTATTTTGTAAAACTCTTGAAATGTTATTTCTCCTTTCAGTTGGATCTTCTGTCTTTTATTCATTATATAATAGATTGTTCAATAAAACAAAGATTGGACAGTACCTGCTGATGGACTTGTGATTAAGTTTGTAGGGAGAATTGGCAGGAGCAAGCCAGGAGTGTTATGAGGTGTGAGGGGCTGGGGAAAGAAAGATTTCAGGAACAGCTCCCATGATCCTGGCCTAAGTTTATAGGAAACAATGCCATTTACTGAAATGGGGAAGAAGTGGGATTTAGGGCAGATGTAAAGAAAAGAAACAGACATTTTAATTTTTAAATAAATTGTGATAGAAATCTAAGGTATTTTGTGTGCCGTTCTGAGTTCCTAAGAATGTTTGCCTTGAAGCTAGCTGTCGGACTATTTAATGGATTATTTACTTCTAATCCTACAAATGAACCTCCACTAATTGAAGTAATTCACATATGTTTGTGTTCTTTGCAACTAAAAGAAGCTAACTAATAAACTTACCAAATTTAGGAGATGACTATTTATGGCCATGGGTATAAAAGTGTATTTTCATTGTTTTTTTTTCTTCTTTTTTGGTGCACATGTTGTCAGCAGAAAAAATAACAGTCAAATATAAATTTTAAAATATGTAGAATTCTTAAGAATTAAGTTAAATTTCTGTTGAATTTGACACATATTTAAGAGGCTGAGAGTAAATTTTAAGGATCAGAATTAGGATAAATGATGTAAGTAAAAGTCTATGAAAAACATTTAAAATAGAATTATAAAGATTAATAAGTTGATAGGTATCCAGGAATGAAGAAATATTTATCTTCCCAATTAGGAGGAAACCTCACTCTACCTAAACTAGATAGAATGGATTATGTTCTTTGCAACTGAACCCTAAAGGACAACACTCCAAGGGGAAATTAATGTGAAATAAAATGCTGAACTTCAAGAAATTGGTTGTGATGGAGGTCTATTCTGTCATATATATATATATAAGACCTATATGAAGTATTTGAAGCCAGAGGAAGTTTGCAAAGGTACATAGTGCCAGAGAAAAATCCCAACTGAATATATAAATTATATATGAGTAAGTGTAAGAAATATTTTTAAAGTACAGTTTTATATGCCAAGGAAGAATGGTGGAGTGTTGTGAGAGATCATGTCAGCAACATCATCTTAGATTAGGAAAAAATGCCAAATTGGGTGAGTTCTGGGGATATCAACCATGATTTTACTATTTGTATGAGGCTCTGTTTTTGTGCAGAAGGACAGTGGGTAGCAGTGCAATTTTAAGGAAAGGGAGATCTGTTTTTAGTGGAAATGAGTAAGCACCTTGCTATGTCTCCCAACCTTAAAACTTTTGACTTTGTGCCAGTATGTACTTGAAAAGGTCCTTGAGGTGGAAGCTAGGCATAGCCAGGAAAAGAAGTGGTGCATTTCGGGGAACCACGGAGAGAAAGGGAGAAGAGGTGGATTCACAACTCTGTTAATTCACATTTACCATTTTACCACATTTAACATTTTACAATGTTTAACCATTTTTATGAAACAATATGATAGAAAGCACACACATATGTACATATACTTTGAGGTTACTGTTACAATTACTTATTTATTAGATAAAAAGAACAATAAAGAACTGGAACTTTTGCATTATATAGATTAAAAGATACACTATTATACTTGACAAATTTTGTTCATGAATAGATTCTTATTTGAAAATTTTTGGTTAGGGATAAGTTAGAATACATAACTCAGAAAATATAACATGATTTCTAAGTTTGAGTAGATTGTCAAAGCAATCAAATATATAGAAGAGTAGTTAATGATTTTTTTCTTAAATGTGCGATAAAATTACTGGGGCCATGAAACTTAACAATAACAAATAAAAACATTTCTTGACAACAAAATAAACAACTAACATACTTGAAAATGAAGCCATACTCATACAATTTGCTCTAGATTTAGCTGTGTTAACATTCAGCAGGAAGTTGTCACAGAGCAATAAACCTGCGGTACACACAGATGGCCCTACCTGTAGGAACAGATATCTGTACTCATCTGTGACAGCAGATCAACATTTTATTCTTCTTATTTTCTCTAGAATTTCTGAGTTACTATTTTTCTATGTAGAAACAAAATATGCATTTATAATTGTCTTTAACTTTTGGAATTATATTAATTGAATTAGTTTGAATCATAATTATTATTCTATTGACAAAATGAAATCATTTTCATAGTATTTGATTGATTTGATTAGTATTTTAACCTATAAGGCAGTTAGAAAAAGTTTTATTATAGATATATATGCATTAGGAAACTGACCCAGAAAAAATCAACATTATTCAACTTCTAAATTCCAACCAAGGATCAACAAAATAAATCATTTGGTTACAAAACGGTGCTACAGTATTTTGCTATAGATGTTATTACTTGTAGAGACTTGAATTTGTGCTTAAAGATGACTAAAATTACCTTACTATAAGTTAAAATAAATCAACTTAATACTTTCATTTGCCAGACATGATGGCTCACACCTGTAATCTCAGCACTGTGGGAAGCCGAGGTGGGAGGATCGCTTGAGCCCAGAATTTGAGACCAGAGTGGGCAACACAGTGAGACCTCAACTCTACAAAATTTTAAAAGTTAGCTGGGTATGGTAGTGCATGCCTGTGGTCACAGCTACTTCGGGGGCTGAGGTGAGAGGGTCACTTGAGCTGGGGAAGTTGAGCATGCAGTAAGCTCATTATCCTGCCACCATACTCCAGCCTGGGTGACAGAGTGAGACCCTGTCTCAAAATAATAATAATAATAATAAATTAAAGAACACTTTAATTCAATTTTAAAGATCCAGTACAATATTTTTGTCTCACCATCACCTTGATGATTTGTGGATTTTCTTTTCTTTTTTAACTTTATATAATAAAAAGTAGAAGAAAAATTAGAGCAGCAAGGAAGCTAGAAGAGAATAAATAATCACGACTTATTTGTACCTTGTCCCTAAGATGGTTAAAGACTTCCCTTAGACTTTCCTAAAATTAGTTTGGAAATGTGATTAGGTCCCATATGACTAGAGACAGAAAAGTTCTAAGACTTCTGTCTATAATATCTTGTCCTTATCCGACTTGAGTTCCCCAAACCTTTTTTCCAATCTAAGTTCATATTCTGAGAAATATTTTCTAATTCACTCCCCAATTACCAGTGTGATAACCTCTCCTTCTTGATATTATATACTTTTAGCATTCTTTACTGATCTCCTATAATGTACATTGTGGCTATAATTATTATTACTTTATCATTTATATTCTGTGCCATGTGTATCAGTGATGCAATTCTGCATTCCAGGTGATTATGGCTCACCATTCTTCTTCCATTTGCCAGTTTGGGGATGTGTAGGACAATATCACTTTGGCAGAGAAAAAAGGAAAAAAAATTATTCATCTTCGAATCATTGCTTCAATCAATCCTGAAGCTCATCTTATTAATATTTCTGTATTTTTCTTAGTTTTAATGGATTTGCAGTTATATTCAGGCTAAAGTGTCATAAAATGTAAACATTTATAAGGTTCCATAAGCTGTTCTTAGAACTTATATGAACAATCTTAATCCATTATCTCACAATTTGTGAAGTTGATAATAATTATCCCCATTATTGGGATCAGGAAACTGAGGCCTAGAAAAGTTAAAAACATACCCAGGTACACAGACTAGTGAGTGGCAGAGCCAGGATTCCAATTCAGGCAGTTTGGTGTGATACCCAATCCTTGTAAACAATATGCCATATTGCTTCTGCTAGCTCACAACTCACTGTATGTGTCTACCTTGCACTTTAGTTCTTTGCAGATAACTTTTTTATTGGTATTTATTGGTATACATATCTCCAGTATTCAGCATCATGCTTGCAACATAATCAAATACACTATTATGGGCAATATGGGGTATGTTCCTTCTATAAGATAAAAAGTAGTGGGTAATAATCTACTCATTAATTGTTTCAGCAAAAAAGAAAAAAATTAACTAGAGAAACTAAAAAACTACTGTCATTATTTTTGTCTAGACACTTCCCCAATGGCATCTGTCCTAAATATTCTTCAATACTTGTTCCCAACATGTTTTGAAGATAATATTTTAGTTTACAGAATAATAGCATTTGAATAGCCTGGTGGTCAACGACTCATCTCACTTTATTATCGATTTTTTATTCAAAAATTATTAAATACATGCTAAGTATGTATTGAACCATGCTATGGAGTCAGTGAAGTCCCTTTCAGTATTGCCTCTTGATATTATGCAGGAGGTTATTTTATTTATTTATTTATTTATTTAGAGACAGAGTCTCTCCCTGTCGCCCAGGCTAGAGTACAATGGCGCGATCTTGGCTCACTGCAAATTCCACCTCCTGGGTTCAAGGGATTCTTCTGCCTCAGCCTCCCGAGTAGCTGGGATTACAGGCGTGCACCACCATGCCAGGGTAATTTTTGTATTTTTAGTAGAGATGGTGTTTCGCCATATTGGCCAGGCTGGTATCGAACTCTTGACCTCAGGTGATCCACCCGCCTCAGCCTCCCAAAGTTCCAGGATTACAGGCGTGAGACATTGCGCCCAGTTGGGAGGTAATTTTAGAAATTCTGTTAAATATTGGCTTGAGGAAATATGCACATGGTGATCCCTTATTGTCATTTCCAGTGTCTCAGAGAAGTCAGCTATAGTCAAGGGCTTTTGATTTATTCTCCTATAAATAATATAAGAAACAACAGTTGATAGTGGTTTGTTGGTTCAGTGGGTTTGATTTTTAGTCTTGAGAAAGAATATGGAAGAGAGAAATGAGAAAAGAAAAGTAAGTTCAATATTCCAATAGGTATTTTGCTACAGCTACAATTATAATTCTAAAATTTAGTTACTGTTTTTTATTGATAATTCTTTTTTTGTTGAAAGCAATATTATTTCTTCTGAGTAGCATATCACGGTGAATCAGACTTAAAACCGTTATTAGCATAAATGTTTTCTTTTCTCCATTAACTCTTACCACACTAAATAGAATTATTTTAACTGTTCCTTACTTAGTAATTACCGTGTGGCTTTTTAGTGCTAACTTCTGTAATAAAAAGGAAATGTATGAACATATTTAATTGAAAATTATAGTAATAAAAAAGATGCATTTCACTTATCTTAGCTAGAATAATTATTTTCTTGTTTTCTATGTTAAAGTATGCTACTTTAAAGATGTCATTATTTTTTATTTTTTTATAAAATATGTATCTTATGGAGAAAACTAAATATACATGCTGCCTGCTTTATTTTATTTTTAAAAAATTATTGAGATTTTTTTAAACATTGATAAACTTTATTATTTATAGCAGTATTAGTTTTACAGGATAATGAATGGTAGTACAGATAATTCCTATTTACCCTGTTATATCCCTCCAGTTTTCCCCATTATTAGGGTTCAATATTGAATTGCACATTCTATAGGTTCTGACAAATGTATACAATATCATTTATCCACCACTATTGTATTATACAGAATAGTTACACTACACTAATATTCTTTCGTATTTCACCAATTTACCTCTTGCTCCCTCTTACTGAATCTCTGTCAACCACTGGACATTTTACTGTCCCTATAGTTTTATCTTTTCTGTAAAGTCATTTGGTCGGAATCATATAGTATGTAGTATTAAATATTCCCAGATTGGCTTCTTTCACTTTGCAGTACCCATTTATGGTGCTCCTTGTCTTTTCATGGCTAGTATCTTATTTCTTTTTATTAGTGCGTAATAACCCACAGTAGAGATGTACCACAGTTTAGGTATTCATTCATCTATTGAAGGACACTGTATTACTCAGTGTTCTCCAGAGAAACAATCAATAGAATGTATGTGTTTATCGGCCTGTCTGCCTGTCTGTTGGTTTCTTTATTTACTAGAAAGAATGGGATCAGCCTACCATTTAAATGTAAATCTCATCCAAAAACACCCTCACAGACACACCCAAATAATGTTTGACTAAATATCTGTGGAATCCATGACTCCATGATCCAGTCAATTTGACACAGAAAAAGTGACTCATCACAAATATCTTGGCTGCCTCCCAGTATGGAAATCAGAAATAAATTTTATGTAAACATTACATAACATTTTTTTGTGTGTGGATGTAAGTTTCTAAATCATTTGAAACAATACCAAGGAGTGTAATTGCTGGAACATATAGTGAGAGTATGTTTAGATTTGTAAGAAAATATTAAACCATCTTCCAAAGTGAATGTACCATTTTGCATTCCCAACATCAGTGAATGAGGATTCCTGTACCAGCATGTGCTGCCGTCAATGTTTTGAATTGTAGCCATTCTAATAAATGTGTAGTGATATTGCATTATTATATTTAATTTTTAATTCTCTAGTGACATATCATGTGGACCATAATTTGAATGCTTGATTGCCATCTGTATATCTTTTCTGGTGAGGTGTCTATTCAGATTTATTGCCCCCTTTTAAATTGGGCTGTTCATTTTCTTATTGTTGATTTTTAAATGTTCTTTCTATATTTTGGACACAGATCCTTCATATGACTTTCTCCCTGTCTGTTATTTGTAATTTCATTTTTTAAAAAGAATAATGGTTTTTAATATTAATGAATTTATTTATCCAGTTTTTCTTTCATAGATCCTGTTTTTGTTGTACCTAAAAAGTCATTATTAAGCCCAAAGTCACCTAGATTTTCTCATACACTATCTTCTAGGAGTTTTATATTTCCATTTTACATTTACATATGAGCTCTATGTCTAGGTTATTAATTTTTGCAGGTTCATTAGTTGAAAATATTATCCTTTCTTAATTAAATTGCCTTCAATTATTCATCAAAGATCAGCAGACTGTATTTGTTTTGGTCTATTGCTGGGTTCTCTATTTTATTCCATTGTTCTATTTATCTATTACTTTGTCAGTATCAACTGCACTGATTATTATAGGTGTATAGTAAGCCTTGAACTATAGTAGTGTCAGCCCTGGACAGCCTTTGTTCTGCTCCTTTAATATCCTTGGTTATTCTGTGTCTTTTGCCTTTCCACACAGACTTAGAATCAGGTTGTTCATATCCACAAAAAGCATGCCAGGATTTTCACTGGGATTATATTGAATCTGTAGATCAAACCAGAAGAATCCAACATGTTGACAATATTGAGACTTTCCACATATGCAGAATATCTCTCTATTTATTTAGATTTTATCAGTGCTTTGTAGTTTTCCTCATGGGGATCTTATACACATTTTGTTAAATATATATTTAAGTATTTAATTTTTTTGGAAATATAAATGGTATTATACAATTTTCAAATTCCACTGTTCATTGATGGTATATAAGAAAGCAATTGGCTATTATATATTAACCTTGTATCTTATTACTTTGCCATAATTGCATATTGCAGTTTTTTTGTTTTTATTATTGCTGTTGATTGTTTGGGATTTTCTACATAAACAATAATGTTATCTGTGAGCAAATACAGTTTCAGTTCTTTATATCTCTGTCTGTCTATCTATCTATCATCTATCTATCTATCTATCTATCTATCTATCTATCTATCTATCTATTATTTTATTTTCCTGACTAATGGCATTAGCTGGAACATCTCATATGATATTTAAAACCAACAAACATTGTTCCTGCTGCAACAACAATAAGCTATGTGTGACTATACTTTATCTTGTTGCTTATTTCTCTCTACAGTTGAAGATCAAATAACTTGAAAAGTAACTACATTGGAAAATCTTCTAAGTATATTTTAATTTTGAAACAAAATAAAACTAGACAGTTTGCCTAAATTAGTGAGAAAAACATTAGTTTAAAAATTAGAGAATGCATGTCAGAGGAAAGAATACAACTAAATAATCTAAAAGAAGAGATTTTATACAATGTGTTATATATTTATATGAAAGAAACCCTTTCTTAATACAATTTTCATGTTAATTGTGTCATTTCATTCATTACCTAATGTACAATTGGAAAGTTTGAAAAAGCTAGTTTATATTCAAAACAAAACAAAAACTTGAGAATGATTTGATCTTAGGAATTCATTATGCATTATCAGTTATATTGGTAAAATTAACTAAAAAAGCTGGTTTCTTCTATTGAAAAATCATCTCACACTTGATAGTCTACTGCGTATTCTCTACATGGAGTAAACAACATACTGTGTATTAATAAGACCCCACTTAATCTGGGATATTTTGAAAGGCCTTAATGTGTCGGATAAATGGTAGATATAATGAAAAATGTCTTTTAGTGGAATTGATAGTAAAAGATTTATGCCTAGATAGCTTAAAGAAAAAAACAGTACTTTTGTGATATAGCTAATTAATGCTTACCAGGAAAGTATTATAATATTAGGATCAGAACAAAACACTGTTTTCAAAAGTAAACATACAACTTTACACAGATATAGTTACTTTTCTCCCTGTAAAAAATTTATATAAGTGCTATATCATTCTGTATTTGCATTTACCTTATAAGACGTTTTATCTACAGTAATTTGGCTATTGTATACAATGGGCCCTCCGTATCCTTGGGTTCTACATCTATAGATTCAATCAACCTCAAATAGAAAATGTTTGGAAAAAAATGGATAGTTGTGTCCATACAGAACATACATACATTTTTTTCTTATCATTATTCCTTAAACAATTAAATACAACAACTATTTATGTAGCATTTATATCATATTAGGTAGTGTAAGTAATCTAGAGATGACTTAAAGTGGCCAGCAGTGTGTGTAGGTTATACGCAAGTACACCATTTTATATAAGGGACTTGACTGTCTGTGAATTGCAATGTCTGGAAGGGGTCTCACCACAACCAATCTACCACAGATACTGAGAGATGACTGAATAGACTTTGCAGAGCAGTTTCTTTTCCAGGTATAAGTGTGATTTCAATTTGCTGTGAAATTTGAAAAAATAATAATAATATGCTCTTTACATTAAGGGTACTAACTTTTTTCTTATCCTACTAACACATCCTCTAATCAAAATAAATAGGAATATATGAATTGGTTTAAGCTAAACACCCCTCTAAAGTTTCTTACACATATTTTTTGCATAATAAACAGCATTGCTACCACATGGTGTTCAATCTATTTGTGTGTCCTACGTAATCTCATCAATTCTTTTTGCATATTTTGTTACCAAGCCTGTCATGAATATATTACTTATTATTTTTCTTGTTTCTCACCCACATTTTCTCCATAGGCTTTTCTAAACAGATGACAGCCACAAACATATTCTAATGTTCTCACTCATCACTATTTTGTAGTATTGATATACCCATGCCACTACCACAGTTTATACTATCTGTGAACTAAAACAAACATTTTTTTAAGTTCACACATTTTCAGGTGGCTCTGTTAATGTTTGAGAGCTGGTGAATATCTTACAAATTATATAAGAAATTCTTCCTGATAAAATATTAACACCTACATAGTCTCTTGATCAGTCAATATAATTAGTTCTCAAAAGGTCAATAATAATAATACATTATTTACATTATCAACAATTACAACAATATTTACTGAATGCTTAATGACCTTGTGTATCGAATTATATCATTAAACCAATGTGGCAGACATTATTATTATCCACTTTTAAGAGATGGAGAAATTGAAGTTTGTAGATAAATATCTTGCTCAGGATTTACAAAGAAGGTTAGTGATGCAAAGAATTTTTAATTCAGAGATTCTGATTTAAAAAAAGTCTAATCATTGCGCTGCTCTAGTTTATTTATTTGTGAACACCTCACAATTATTTCCTAATAAGTATTTTTGCTGTTTTCATTGATACAGTAGAAATCAAGAAGTAATTTATTTATTTATATTACTATAAACCTTTTAAGTATACAGAATCTTTAATAGCTATACAACAATTTCAAGACAAAACAAAAGGATCTTTCATGAGCAGCAAAATGTATCAACATTTATCTGATGGCATGCAACAAAGTCTCACCACCACCACCACCACCATCCTCACCACACCACTTCTCTACTAGGCTGAAAGCTGCTTAAAAATGGAGCTCATGAAATTTATCATGAGTGTCTAAATTGATCCTTCACAGTGTACTTAGTATACTATACTGATTAATTAATTTTTGCATACCTATTTTGTTGGAAACAAAAAAGAATAGACTGCCTCAGATAGATAATAAAATTTTTATTCTCAAATTTCAAAGGAGAGTTTCCTTTCTTTCGTCATTGTCATTTGACTCTAAGAGACATTTTAGAAATGTATATTCAATTTTTCTTTTCTTTTTCTTTTGAGATTTGGGAGAAAGAAACCAGGCTATGGTGGTCATGCCCTATAATAGAAATAATTCTTTATTTTTAAAGCTCAACATAATTGGAAACAATCAATATTGGAAAGATAATCTCACTATGACAATTCTATATAGATGAGTAAACCTATATGGGTAATAATAACTTATTGCCTCAGAGTTTAAATGCATGTCATTTAACAAGTTTTATTTTCATAATTAAAAATTGCAGCTTTATTTTACATTTTTAACTCATACTTCTTTTAAGTAGTAAATAGAGACGGAAATAGTAAATAGAAGTAATTAGGTGAATAGTATGGTCCAGTGATTTCTACTTGGATGGCAGTTCTGTTCGAATTTTCTGATGCTCTTTCCAGTATCTCAGATGGCTTCAGGTTGTCAGATGGCTTCACGTTGCTGGTCTTGGAATAAATTTGCTATTTAGTGCACAGGTGATCAGGTGTGACACAGCTCTGCAGAAAACCTTTCTTCACACTTGATAGATGTGTGTCACTTTGTAGACTATAAATGGTGTCTGGTGAAGCAGTGTTGCTGTAGAGGGTACCTTGCAACAAAGGACATGGCATAGATATTAAACCAGTTACAGTTTTAATTACAAGAGTTCTTGTACAGGAATTCTATAGACTCTAAGAGGTTACTTATCACACAGGTGGAAAGTGAAGGCTGCGTTACTAGTCACTGAAATGAATATCAGTAATATCTGGTTGCTCTGGGTAGTATCCTATAATTAACTAAGTAATTAGTTAAGTATAATAATTTGGAAAAAAATTATAAGCAAGGCTCAGAATATGAGATAATAGATGCTCATTAAACATTAGATCATCATTTTTTTTCTGGAAATGAATAGCTACAATAACAACAAATACAAATTTACAAAGTATCATATTTTTTCCTGGAAGTTGATTCATAAAAGCATGAAAACTATTTAAAGACATAAAGCATAATCATGGATATGAAAGTCTTTAAAATTTAATTGGGGATGCAAAATAACTATATATCACAAAGTATTGTATATAATTAGTACTGGGGAATAACCTTTACCTATATGTCTTTGGGTGCTTAAATTGTCAGATTATGTGCAGATTCAATGAATAGACCAAAATTTTATGTTTAAAAATTAAATCTCATCTCTTATTTTGAAAAATCTTTTGGTGAAACTATTTAAGTTTTATTGTAAAGATAATGCCTCATTTCAAAGAATCTTGGGGCCCATCACGTTTTGCAGAGCGTGTGTAAGGAATGCATAGTTTTCATCATACCCATACTAGAATGTGTAGCATAATCTCCATTTGAGATGAACTAACGAAAACATCTTGACGTTATGATTATGGACATCTGCCTTTGTTTACATTCATCTCAGCTTAATGCAGAAAATGTCAAAGAAAGAATGTGGGGGTGAAAATTGTGTATCTTTCGGTTTTACTTTCATTGCTTAGCACAAAGGATGAAAAGGCATTGTGCTTCTTGTGTGGTAAGCATTTAGCTAATGGATGCAGAAAGCAAACAAAGCTGAAAGGAAATGTTTTATTGCCCCATTCTGGACCATATGAATTTTTGCTGCTTTTGTTATTGTTGTTTTTGTTGTTGTTGTTGTTTAAATGATTTGAAATGTCTGGAACTTCACCAAAATCTGGAACTGTACCAACACAGAACTTTGTCTTAAAACATCTTACAATTTTGCTTATTCTCTTGCCAAGCAAAAGAAGTCACACATGTTTGGATAGAATAGAGAAGTCAGAGAACTGAAAATAAAAAGGACAATATTTTCGTTAAAGTAGTTTAATTTTTTGTCCCATTACAATAAAGACAAATGGAAAATAGAAAATACTTTGAAGAAAAACATGACACTTTGATGAAAATACTCTGATGAAAATCACAAAGTAATCTGACTCTATTCAAATGAAATCATAAATATCCTCGGTTAATATATATGGATATATTATGCACTTATTTTAATATATTTTTAACTGAGGATATTTATAATATTGAAGTATGTCCTTTTATTATCAGGACAAATGGATATCAACACTCACATTTTGTTTTATACGTGTATAACTTTTATTTATATATAATTGTCACATACAATTGTCTTCTTGATATATATGCTTGCAAAATCAGCTTGCATTTCCACCGACTCTTATTTTCCAGATAAATCTGAAATTCAGAGCATTTTTGTACAAGTGTCCATTATCTTAATTCAATCTAGAAGATGCAAGCAAATTCCACTTTCAAACGTATATGCATACTAACTTGCAATTCTTTCTTTTTTCATATGTTTTAATGCTGTAAACTTTCATAAATTCTTCTGTTTAATTAATGTCTAATGAAAAAATGAGAGGGTAATTTTTGAATTTTTACACTGAATTCAATTACTTGTTCAAGATGACTGTGTTAGCATTTCATACAATAATTGGTCTTAATATAAGGAGGTATTCTTTTCTATTTTAGAAATAATTTACTAATATCTTCCTGTGCTAAAAAATATATTAGCATTGTTACCATTCCCCTCCCCAAGCATGTCCTTTTCCTCTCTCTAACTTACTATTTGCTACAGAGTTTAGTTAAGGCAATATTTGGTGTTTACATTTCTGTGTTTATTTATGAACATCTGGATAACCGCAGAGACATGTTGATTAGTGCTAAAGGCAGGATGGCAACATCAGCCTCACCTGGCAGCTTTTCAGTTGGAGTAGTAGCTCTGGGAGACACTTCTAGAATTTAAATTGGAATCTACACATTAGCAAGATTTCCCAGGTATGCTTTTGAAGATTCTGATTTAGTAGATCTTAAGTATGACTTGAGATAAGATTATCTAAATATCTCCAAAAATATCTTACATGACGCCAGTGCTCTGGTTCTCCAAATACTCTTTGTAGCAAGAATGTAGGAAACCATGATTACCTTTTCTCTTGGTATAACATTTTCTAACAACTATATTCAAATTGACTTTTTCTACTTATTTTTTAAAATAAATATCTGTCAGTAATCCAGGCCTGTATTTTCTGACAGAACTCAATACAGTCAAATGCACCAGGTTACAGATCTTTCTTCTCTTTCCCCCCTTCCCTTTGGGAAAAAGAGCCTTGCAATTTTACATTGGCTCTTCTATTCTGATTTAGAAAGGTTGAGCTTCACGTCAGACTCAGCTGTAGTCCTAGGTCACTATCAACTAGCATCAGACCCTGCACAGCCATAGAACTTGCGGGACCTAGTGAATACATGAAAACCCTCTTTCAAAAAGCAAGAAAAAACTGTCAATAATGGGACTAAAATATAAAACTTTCATTGTTTTTTCTGCAGTTTCATCTCTCTCTCTCTCATTGTCATGGTATCTTTTTAAGTGTTTTTTTCTAAGTTTAAAAAATCAGATTAACACAATTTTTTACTGTTCATCTTTATATTACGCAATGCCTATTTTAAATACATTCTTAATAGCTTGTAACTCATGTGAAGGATCACCAAAATTACTTAAATTTTATTGCATCATTTGTAAACTCGCATGAATCTCATTCTTAGAAGTGTGAAAGCACTACACAAAACTACCTAATGTATTCTTATTTCACTTGGTAAACCCATTCTACCAACACTGTATACTACTGGTTTACTGATGAGTAAGAAAAGAAGCTGTGACTACCTGACATTTCCCTTTCCTTCTTTGTCATCATTTTTTTTAATTGCATGTGATTTACTAATACGGGGAAGTAACATGAAAAATAAAGAATATGATAGAGTTCCTTGGTCATTCTTGTTTCTTAGAATGTGATTAGCTTTTTTGCTTTTTTTTTTTGGCGGGGTGGTGGGGGGTGTGTATGGAGAGCGTGTCCCCACCGTATTGCCCAGGCTAGTCTCAAACTCTTGGCCTTAAGGAATCTTCTTGCCTCTTTGTCCCAAAGTGCTGGGATGACAGGCGTGAGACACCATGCGTGGCATTTTATGTGCTTTCAAAGCAAGTTCTGGTTCAAAAGGAATGTGTTGCTTCTCAGGCTGTCAGTGCCCCACTTAATCATATATGCAACACAATTACCTTGCACCAGCTTGGGGTCTTGCTAAACTCCAGGGCATCTTGTGACCTCCAGAATTGTGTGCTCCTGAGGCATGTAGAATGCTATATACAAATGGAATGTTACAGAATTGCAAACATATATTTTCTCCTTATGTACATGTGACATTCATTGTCCTATAGGGTGTCACTTACAAAAGGTCAAATATAGAATTATTAAGAATTTCAAAGGCAGTTAGCAAGGCATTAAACCGAGTTCAGGGTTTCTGCTCCGTGCTACTGCACTGGTGGGACATCCTTCAGCTGGCCTGGACTAGCAAACAGAGCTTTGGCTTTTACTCTTATGTAATATCACTTGCTTCCATGAGCCCATGTCTTTTTCTTTATTGAATAATTTATTTATAGGGCAATTTTCTCTCTTTTACAATAGGATCACAAAAATGATTGCAAGTAGTCTGTGATCCGTGTAGGAAAATATGGCTTATGTAATGTAATTCAGTATGTGGATTTTTACTTATTCAATTTTTGTTATGACATTCACCTGCATTCCAATTCCTACCTGGCGCTATTGGATATAAAGCCTCTTTTGTTTTCTGTCTCAAACATGATCTTCCTATATTCTGTTTAGGCAAAGAAAGTAAGCAGCTGCCTGTGAAATCTGAGAGAAAGAATTTCTCCTTACATACACTACATCAAATGCACATATTTTCAATGTGTCGTATACTCTGGGATTTGGGTAACTCGTGCCGAAATTGCTGAGCCTTTCTGGATTCTTGTCTTTACAACGGGCACATTCTCATTTGTGTTCACCATTAAACAAGTAGGTATGTTTATGCTTCAACGTCAGCTACAATTTAACAAAAGCTTTCCATCTTCCAGTATGTTGCTGACTTATCTGTTTATAATCTTTCCTTCACACTTTTCAAATAGCATTTATTATTTTAATAAAAATAACACTTATTTTAAAATTATAATAGTTATCTGAACATAGGAGTTTTTGTTGGTTTTGTTTTCAGTTTTGCAATATGTTTTCTGAAAATTTTCTGGAAGTCAAAATGTGCAAAAATAGAGGATATTGAAAAGCCAAATGGTTTTTAGGTTTATGTTTTAATGTCGCAGATGATCAATGATGCTTTCTCACTGTAGAAATGTATTAGTAGCTTTCTTTTTTTTTTTTGCATTAGAAGAGAAAGCAGGTCGGGCATGGTGGCTCACGCCTGTAATCCTAATACTTTGGGAGGCCGAGGCAGGCGGATCACCTAAGTTCAGTTCGAGACCAGCCTGGCCAACATGGTGAAACCCTGTCTCTAGTAAAAGTACAAAAATTAGCCAAGCGTGATGGCGGGCACCTGTAGTCCCAGCTACTCGGGAGGCTGAGGCAGGAGAATTGCTTGAACCCGGGAGGCAGAGGTTGCAGTGAGCCAAGATCACACCATTGCACTGTAGCCTGGGTGACAAGAGGGAGACTCCGTCTCAAAAAAAAAAAAAGGTAGACAAAGCAAATGAAAAATCAAACAATAAACATTATTAGTTTGAATATCTTAAAGGAGAATTTCCAGAGGCACTCAGACTTGAACATTTTTCTTGGCAGTGACACTATGATATTATCTATTACAAATTTACATTCTTTAGAATTCCTTGGGAATATTCTTTGTTTAAGCTCATCATCTTATAAAGATTTAATAATTGGGATATATAGCAATTTGAATTTAGAAAATGAATTTATATAATATGTAAGTAAAAATAATTCTTAATAATCATATAAAAATTTTATCATTCATATATAGTCTGGCATGGTTCAAAATATAATGAAAAAATTATTGTAATGGTTTTTTTTTGGCAGAGTCTTGCTCTGTCCCCAGGCTGGAGTGCAGTGGTGTGATCTTGGCTCACTGCAACCTCTGCCTCCCAGGGTCAAGCGATTCTCCTGCCTCAGCCTCCCGAGTAGCTGGGACTACAGGTACACGCCACCACGCCTAGCTAATTTTTGTATTTTTAGTAGAGATGGGGTTTCATCATGTTAGCCAGGATGGTCTTGATCTCTTGACCTCGTGATGCACCCGCCTTGGCCTCCCAAAGTGCTGGGATTACAGGCATGTGCTACTGCGCCAGGCCTGTAATGAAATTTTTAAATGAACAAAGGCAGACATAGTCAACACTACACTTGTACTTCTAATAGAGCAATATTCTTCCTCTCATTATAGCCATTAATAATTTATGATCATTATTTTTCTACATTTATTATAATGTTCAAAAAGCATTCAGTATTTTTCAATACATCATCTGAAATGATCAATCAACCACTTCATTATCTTGACTACATAGAAGCAATAGGGAAATATTTGAAGGATTTAACAACATCTTGCCCAACCAGGGCAGGCACTGACTTTAACAACCTTTAAGATGGAGCCAGTATATACAGGTTCAGCATCATCCGCAGATCCAGCATTTAAGGGGTCAGGCAGAATACTAGTTTAGGAATAATGCAGATTACTTTCAGGAAAAAAGTGTCTACGGACTAATCAAATATATGCATTAATAAAGAGTCTAGGAGACTGTAGTGACAGACTCTGGCTTACAGGTTTTTGGAAAATCATATGTTATAATTTCACTGTGAGTGTGGTCCATATTTCTTCTTTATACCTTAAACATCAGAACAATATTATGAAACTGTGGCATTAAATATTAATTTGCTGATGAAAGGTATAATTTTAATATATGTTTATAGTGAAAGGAAAATATTAATCAAATACAACTAAATGATAGAATAAAATGAACACTGTCTTTTTTCTTTTTTTTTTTATTCTCTTAAGAAAATTTGTAACTCTTTGTTTCCTTACTTATGGAAAAAATAAAAGTTGTAAATCTAACTTACATAAACCACAAAAAAACTAAATACATTATTTTGTTCACTTTAGTTATTTACGCTATGTTTACATAAAGTGAATAACAAATTTCCAAATGGCTAAAAGTTTTTACTCGATTATGCTATGATCAAACTTAATAAATAAAAACCGTCATCTAATTCTATGAACATAATATGTTATTTTTTCAGCCCTGTTTCATTTAACATTATATATTTATCTGCTCCTCAGTTAAAGCAGACATAAGCGATACAATGTTATATGAGACTATCATATCAAATATGTTACTATCATTATTGCAAATGATTCCTCAATTTAACCTTTTTTAAGGCTTTGTGTAACAAAGAATTACATTTAATTGTGTTTGGGCCAGGCGTGGTGGCTCATGCCTGTAATCCCAGTACTTTGGGAGGCCAAGGCAGGCGGATCACCTGAGGTCAGGAGTTCGAGACCAGCCTAACCAACATGGAGAAACCCGGTCTCTACTAAAAATACAAAATTAGCCAGGTGTGGTGGCACATGCTTATAATACCAGCTACTCAGGAGGCTGAGGCAGGAGAATCACTTGAACCCAGGAGGCGGGAGTTGGAATGAGCTGAGATCACACCATTGCACTTCAGACTGGGCGACAGAGTGAGACTCTGTCTCAAAAAAAAAAAGAAAAGAAAAAGAAAGAAGGAAGGAAGGAAGGAAGGAAAGAAAGAAAAGAAAGAGAAAGAAAGAAAGAAAGAAAGAAAGAAAGAAAGAAAGAAAGAAAGAAAGAAAGAAAGAAAGAAAAGAAATACATTTAACTCGGTTTAAGTAAAAGGAACATCTGTCAACATTGTATACCTTCCCTTAGGGATAATAAGCTGTTGCAGTTGTTTGTTGTTTAGTAACTAAGTTACCTGGTGTGGCATGAACAAACATATTTGAGATTTCATGTTTCTTCCTGCAATGACTTTTATGAATTACCACACTCTATTTAAAATACATGCTAATGTTCTATATATAATAGGACTTACATATCTTAAGTGGATTCTTGGCACACAGAAATAAATATGTTTCACTTTATGGCAGCTGCTGAAGAGTCCAATAACTATTTTGCTAGAGCTCTTTCAACAGGCCTTCCTCTACATAGTTTTCACTCGATGCATAACCTCACAAGAGTTTTTCTGACAAAATCTTATTATCAATGGTAATTGCAATTACTAGTATAAATATGATATGCTGCATGAATGGATTTAAATTGCAAAAAGAAAGCTAATTTTTTGAAATTTTGATAATTCAACAATAGTTTGCAAATAAACACTTGGTCAAAGACAGCTATGGAAATATTCTGCTCTAGGTTTCATTTTGTTTCACAATGATGTCAACTACATTGCAGCAATATGTGGCACAGCTAGTAGCAGAAAGAATCCGATTTAACTTGGAAATATGTTCACAGAACATTGTTAGTATTCACAGCACATATTTCCAACCCATAAAGAGGAAATACATAAACAAAATTAAATAGTGAACCAAAACCTAGGAGTAAACGATGCAATAGAATTTAACAAGTCCTTAAATTAGTACAAAGCTTAAAAGTAATTAGACATTCCATTGCTTTTATTTTTAGTGCTGTTTGAGGCAAATTTCTAAGCATGACTATTTTTCTCAAAAGATATAAATTAAAACACCTGCTCAGTTGCCTTCTGACGCCAGTGGATTATTGAAGGCAAGGAGAACATAGGTGCACAGGATAGCCCCAAATCAGCAAATATTTGAGATCTATGTTGCCCTGTGAGTTTGGGTGGCAAGGGCATCTGATGGACATACGATGAAGCCTATGCTTTTTACTGTGCTAGAGTAGTAAATTTATTTGTCCCTGATACAGGGGTTTCATGCCTTCTGCAAACATCAATTTATTAAATGGTACTGGCTATCTCGTTAATTTCTTTATATCGTTAATTAATGCTATCATTAATGAAATGATATATGCGTGTATTTACTTCCATGTCACTTTGTGCTTGCTAAGTGCAGCTCCACATGAGAAATTGTTTTTAATGCTTTTAACAGCTTAGTACTAAGGGTTTTGTTTCCTTTAAGGAACTCATTTTATTCTCTCTGTTAGAAATAATAAATAATCATGTCCCAACTTTTTAATTTTCTTTTGGTGGCCAGGAAAACTTTCAGCCTGATGTTTGTTATTTATTTTAATTTGCATATTCCCATTTTTTTGGCCTCAAACAAAGCAAGACATAATAAAACAAGCAAACAAATAAATAGTATCATGTTGTCTATCATCAACTGAGATTGGTGGATACTTCACTCTGGTGAATTCCTCACTTACCCTACTCTCAGAATCTTGAAAAATGTAAAAATTGGCAAATGTTAGTGATTTTATTTTTGACAAGTCTTTTCTTGGGAAGATGTAGAACTTTGTATAATACTTTGAGCTATAAATATAGAACTTTAATACTGGATGTTAAATGTGCAACCACATTAAGCTACCTAAATAAAATTGAAATTTATAAATGATACTTCCTATAAAATGATTATGATCTATGGAATTAATGGTCATAATTTAGGTAGCTCCAGTTATGTAGCCCTTTGTTTTCTTAGGCAGTTTACACCACTTGGCAAGCTCTTACCAAGTTGGACTTCATATATTCAGGTCATAGCCTCATAGTCCATGATTTGGGGAAGGCCTTTACTGCTTGTAACTATTATAACTATTAACTTTCTAAAAGTTTATTTGTTTTGAAAATTCTTTTTGCTTTGAAGATCCTTTAAGGTATCTAGATTGGGTTCAAAATCTATTAATGGTTATAGAAGAAAAACTCATGAATGCTTTATCTATTAATTATTTCAAAGTGATCCTCTAGGACTGATGAGAGCAGAGAGATCTAATCACAAACCAGGATTCCATTTAAATAGATTCTGCAACTCCCAACACCTACTAGGAAGCAAAGTGAAATATAAAAACATGGTTTCTGGTATCAAACTTCTGGGTTTCTAACTCTGTCACTCTCTCGTGCTTAGATGAGTAGCTTTGGGGACTTTTCTAAGCTTGATGAGACTTCATTTTTCTTGACACAAAACTGAAATAATAACAGTTAATCAGCAGGACTTCTTTGTGTTACTAATCAAGATAACATGAAATTCACAGCATAAAAAGAGCACTTTACAGAATAATTTTCCTAGAATGTTTAAGGCATGTTAAAAATTATAAAGTATAGACTTTCCTCAATAGTTTGCAGAGTTATAGGATTTTTTTTTGTATGATTTAATCCATATTTTTGAAGTCATGGGTAATTGTGTTAACACGTCAGTTTATAGCAGACAGAAGTGCTTCTGTGTGTTAAATAAATCTGAATTCAAATTCCATTATGTTTCCCAATCAAGCTACTGTGATAACACTTCTGACATGTATGTCTTTTTTTTTATTTTTTTATTATGCTTTATTTCTTTATTTTGCTATTGAGTATTGTATTAGTCCATTTTCACACTGCTATAAAGACATACCCAAGATTGGGTAATTTATAAATGAAAGAGTTTATTTTATTTTATTTTATTATTTGTGTGTGTGTGTGTGTGACAGAGTCTTGCTCTGTCACCCAGGCTGGAGTGCAGTGGCCTGATCTCAGCTGACCACAAGCTCTGCCTCCCAGGTTCAAACGATTCTCTAGCTTCAGCCTCCCTCATAGCTGAGATAACAGGTGCGTACCACCATGCCCGGCTAATTTTTATGTTTTTAGTAGAGACGGTATTTCATCATGTTGGCCAGGCTGGTCTCGAACTCCTGACCTCGGGTGATCCTCCTGCCTCCATTTCCCAAACTACTGGGATTACAGGCGTGAGCCACCCCACCTAGCTGGAAAGAGGTTTAATTGACTCATAGATCCACATGACTGTGGAGGCATTGGGAAACTTACAATCATGGTAGAAGGCAAAGGGGAAGCAAGCGCCTTTTTCACAAGGTGGCAGGAGAGAGAGGAATGAGGAGAAACTTCCAAACACTTATGAAACCATCAGATCCCAAGAGAAGTCACTATTATGAGAACAGCCTGAGGGAAACTGCCCCGATGATCCAATCACCTCCTTCCCTCGACACATGGGGATTACAATTTGAGATGAGTTTTGGGTGGGGACACAGAGCCAAAACATATCATTCTGCCCTGGCCCCTCTCAAATCTCACCTCTTTTCGCAATTCAAACCAATCATGCCTTTCTAACAGTCCCCCAAATTCTTAAGTCAATCCAGCATTAATTCAAAAATCCAAGTCCGAAGTCTCATCTGAGACAAGGCAAGTCCCTTTCGCCTATGAGCCTATACAATAAAGACAAGTTAGTTACTTTCAAGCCACAGTAGGGGTGCAGGCACTGGGTAACTATTCCCATCCCAGATGGGTGAAATTGGTCAAAACAAAGTGGCCACAGGCCCCATGCAAGTCCAAAATCCAGTGGAGCAGTCATTAAATCTTAAAGCTTCAAAATTATCTCCTTTGACTCCATGTCTCACATGCAGGGCACACTGATGCAAGGGGTGGGCTCCCAAAGCCGTGGGCAGCTCCTTCATGGGTTGGCCATGAGTGCCTGTGGCTTTTCCAGATGAACCATTCAAGCTGTTGATGGATCTATTATTCTGGGGTATGGAGGACAGTGGCCCTCTTCTCACAATTTCACTAGGCAGTGCCCCACTGGGGACGCTGTGTGGGGTCTCCAACCCCACATTTCCCTTCTGTACTGCCCTAGCAGAGGCTCTCCATGAAGGCTCTGCCCTTGCAGCAGACTTCGGTCTGGACATCGGAGCATTTCCATACATCCTCTGAAACTACATGGAGGTTCCCGAACCTCAATTCTTGACTTCTGTACATCCACAGGCCCAACACCACATGGAAGCCACCAAGGCTTGGGGTTTGCACCCTCTGAAGCAACAGCCTGAGCTGTACCTTGGCCCATTTTAGCCATGGCTGGAGCTGAAACAGCTGGGATGCAGGGCACCAAGTCTGGAGGATACACAGAGGAGCGGGACCCTAGACCCAGCACAGGAAACCATATTTTTCTCCTAGGCCTCTGGGGCTATGATGGGAGAGGCATCTCTGAAGGTTTCTGACATGCCCTGGAGAACTTTTTCCCATTGTCTTGGCTATTAACATTTGGTTAATACCATAGCCTCATTACATATGCAAATTTGCATAACCTTGTTATTTATGAAAATTTCTGCCACTGGCTTGAATTTCTCCCCATAATATGGGTTGTTGTTTTTTTTACTATCACATGGTCAGGCTGCAAATTTTGTAAACTTTTAGCTCTGCCTCCCTTTTAAACATAAGTTCCAATTTCAGACCATTTCTCTCAAGTTCAAAGTTCCACAGATCTCTGGGGCAGGGGCAAAATGCCACCAGGCTGTTTGTTAAAGCATAGCAAGAGTGACCTTTGCTCCAGTTTCCAAGAAGTTTCTCATCTCCATCTGTGACCACCTCAACGAGGACCTTATCGTCCACATCATTTTCAGCATTTTGGTCAAAACCATTCAACGTCTCTAGGAAGTTCCAAACTCCCTCATCTTCCTGGCTTCTTCTGAGCCCTCCAAACTGTTCCAACCTCTGCCTGTTACCCAGTTCTAAAGTCACTTCCACATTTTCAGGTTATCTTTATAGCAGTACCCCACTCTCTGCAGTACCAATTTGCTGTATTAGTCCGTTTTCACACAGCTATAAAGACATACCTGAGACTGGGTAATTTACAAAGGAAAGAGGTTGAATTGACTCACAGTTCCACATGGCTGGGGAGGCTTCAGGAAACTTACAGTCATGGCAGAAGGGGAAGCAGGCACATCTTACATGGTGGCAGGTGAGAGAGACAGAGCGAGGGAAGGAGGAACAGTTAAACACTTATAAAACCATCAGATCTTGTCAGAACTCATTTTCACAAGTTGCAACTGTTATTACTGCTACTACTAATAGTATTATAAAGGAGTTTATTTTATTTTATTTTGTTATTATTATTATTTTTTTGTGCGTGTGAGACAGAGTCTCGCTCTGTCACCCAGACTGGAGTGCAGTGGCCTGATCTCAGCTCACTGCAAGCTCTGCCTCCCAGGTTCAAGCGATTCTCTGGCCTCAGCCTCCCTCATAGCTGAGATTACAGGTGTGCACCAACACACCCTGCTATTATTAATACTATGAATAACAATAGTATTAGTAGTAGTAATGATTATTTAGTTTACAGTAAGGCAACTTAAAATATGCAGGGAAAACACACTACAGTATGTCCCATCTACGTAGAGGATGGCAAAATTGAAATGTAATCTGTCCTGATTCAGATTTTTTCTATTTTTTTCTTTTTAACTCCAGTAGTTATATTGCTAATGTGTCCTGATTACTAAGAGTGACACAATAAAGGCTAAATGTGTGTTAGTTTTTCTAATGACAATATGAGTTTATCTGAAAGCTGTTCTAATAATTAATTATTATTCATGATAATGGTAATAGAGATGCAGATTAATTTTGGAGATGAGTAGGTCTTAATGTATACTGATTCCATCAAGCAGATTAGTTCCACTTAATATTAATCCATGTGCCATTTTCCAAAACCTTGTCCTAGTTTACTGCTTTGACGTTATTTCCAAACACCTACAATATTATTGTAAATATTATTAAGTATAATTAAATTTTTAATTTTAGACTGGAATGATTTTCATCCTTTATATAAATATCATATGCCATTTATTAAGCTATTGTTTCTCTGTTCTGAATCAATTGTTTCTTACTATGCTTTGTGATGCAGAGCCTAAAACTCTGCAAAACACATTTCTGCTTTGCCAGCTAGCACCCAGCTAGGTACTGCTAACCAGGGCCATTGGAGAGAGACTACAGGGCTGGATAAAAAAGAAGGAAATTGTACCTTTCTGTCTGCCTACTGCTGCATTCTGCTCCCATTACTATTGCTGTATAATAAATTATCCCAAACTGGAGTGACATAAAACATCCCTTTTTTTTTTAGAACACAAATTTGCAGGTCAGGGACACAGTGTGGGCTTGACTAGGCAGTGCTCATTTGGGTTCCCCTCTGCAATGGCAGTCAGATGTTGGCTAAGGCTGCAATCATGCAATCATCTCATGCCATAATTATGCCCATTGCTAGCATAGCTGCTGGCTGTTAACTGGGAGATCAACTGAACTACCCACAGAAGTGTATATAAGTGGCCTCTTCAGCATGGCAATGTAGAGTGGACAGACTCTTTATATGGCAAGTGATTTCCCCAGCAAAAAGTGTTCTAAAGACCCAAAGGAAAGCAGAATTTCAGAAATTACACAGCATCACTTGCAGGGCATCCTGGTAGGGCATCCTGTTGGTAAGGGGTCTAATAATGATTCAGAGGAAGAAGACATAGATCCCAACTCTCTACAGAAGGAACATCCAAAAGGTCTGGGTGCCAGACCCATGAAGCGCCCTTTAGAAAAGACTCAGAGCTTCAGAGATCTTACTTTCAGTTCTTCAAGACCCCTCCTCCAAGATTCAAAATTTTAATCATCTTAACCTTTTCATTTTGTTCCCCCAGTCCTAAGGAACACCTTAGTCTTTTTCAAAATTTACCCTTTCAGCTATCTAACTAACTTAACATCTAGTTAAAAACTGTTAATACTATTTTTTCTAGGTAAAAATAAATATAATTTCTGCCTCTTCATTGTATATGATGACTCACATAGAAAGAAGTGACAAATGAAAACTATGTTAAAAGTTAGGCAAAAATCTGAATGACATATTTCAAACAACTGCTTCTTAAGAGTTTAATCATATCTTGGTATGTTGATATTTTATATTATATAAATTATAGCATTTGATCAAAGACCAACTACTGCCTGGGTTTGGCTATGTTCACATTCCCTTAATATATCTTGATCTTAGACATTTTTACATCAAAGTTTAATGTGGACTATTATAGTAGCTAGAATATGAATAGAAAAGTTGAATAACATTGGCAGTGTAAGATAAGAACAAATTCCAATTATATATTGACAGACTGAAAATAACCTTATTATTAAAATACATTCTTACAATATATGTTTAATAGATTGAGTCTCAAAGGGGTCAAATTTCTTTCACACAATTACAAACTAAATGGGAGAATACACCTTAGAATAGTTGTATTTAATTTTGGATCCTCCTTTAGTGCTATTTCTATGAAACCATTAAGTCCCCCAGGTGGCCAGTTACAATTTTTTTAAGATTAAAGCTTGTTGTAAATTACAGTAGAATATCATTTTCAGGAACATTTCATAAAGCCAATTTCAAAGCTATGAACTTTTTACTATTTCCTGAAATTTTACGCTCTAATTTAAAATCTCCAAACTCTAAAGTATGTATAAAAACCTATACATTAGAATGCCTCATGTTTTGAACTATTTAATAAAAAAAGATTATTTGAAAGTTTGAGTCAGTACTTTAATTTTTGCCGAAATAACACTAAATTTTAGACGTGCTTAATAAAATACAGGAACTTTTCACTGTGATTAGAGAGCTTGCTAATTTATTTTTTTCTATCTACCTATCTATTTTATTAAACATAATCATAGGCTTAAACATTCAAGCAAAATCCCTGTAAACTATCATGAATTACTTTGTAAGAGAAAATAATGAGGCTCATGGCTACTGCCCAGCTTATAATAGTCCATTTTTAAAGCAAAACTTCATTCATTTGCCAAAATATTTGATGCTTGTGTCATCATGCTACATTTAGAAGTGAACATAGATAATTGATTCCAATTCCTGCCTATTGTAGGGAAGTCTGTCAGAAATCACCAAATAAGTTCAGAATTTCTGACATATAATTAAGTAATAATTTTTGATATTGTTTTTTACTTTTTACTTTTGACTGAATTTCACAATAGACTGGCAGTTCCTGTCCTTAGAAAATAGAATGTTGAGTGCATTCTCTGCCCTCTAATGGGGAACCAGTCATGCTTAACTGCAGAAACTTTGCTTTGAGAGAACAGGCAAACTCTAATTACCAAATAATCAACACTACCGCTGTGCAGGAGCATCCAAGTAATTGCGGATTCTCACATACTGGAAATAACATAAATAGTATTTTAATAAGAACTATGAACACTTAGGTTGGTTCCTCATCCATTTCTAGAAATTTCATCCCTTTTTTTTGGATCAAATTTCTTTTTTTTTTTTTTTGAGACAGAGTCTCCCTCTGTCTCCAGGCTGGAGTGCAGTGGCGAGATCTTGGCTCACTGCAACCTCCACCTCCCGGGTTCAAGCAATTCTCCTGCCTCAGCCTCCCGAGTAGCTGGGACTACAGGCATGCGCCACCACACCCAGCTAATTTTTGTATTTTTAGTAGAGACGGGGTTTCACCATGTTGGCCAGGATGGTCTTGACGTCTTGACCTTGTGATCCACCTGCCTCAGCCTCCCAAAGTGCTGGGATTACAGGCGTGAGCCACTGTGGCTGGCCCACATTTTTATTTAAAATAATCACAATGGAGTCTACTCTAGAAAGACCTTACAACACTTCCTTCAAAAGTCTTAAAACCTAGAAGAAAAAAAATGTGTGTGTATATATACCCACATATATATGATACATACACACATACATACATACGATACATATATAAACAGGCATTAAAATATTAACTGATTGAGCTCTGTAATAAAAGTATATAAATACTACCCAATCACAAGTTCAAGAGAGTGGATAGGCCGGGCGCGGTGGCTCACGCCTGTAATCCCAGCACTTTGGGAGGCCGAGGCGGGCGGATCACGAGGTCAGGAGATCGAGACCATCCCGGCTAAAACGGTGAAACCCTGTCTCTACTAAAAATACAAAAAATTAGCCGGGCGTAGTGGCGGGCGCCTGTAGTCCCAGCTACTTGGGAGGCTGAGGCAGGAGAATGGCGTGAACCCGGGAGGCGGAGCTTGCAGTGAGCCGAGATCCCGCCACTGCACTCCAGCCTGGGCGACAGAGTGAGACTCCGTCTCAAAAAAAAAAGAAAAAAAAAAAAAAAAAGAGAGTGGATAACTGGAATGGTTAGACTTATTATTAAATAATCTTTTTATTTTATTTTACTTTTAAGTTCTAGGGTACATGTGCACAACGTGCAGGTTTGTTATATATGTATACATGTGCCATGTTGGTGTGCTGCACCCATTAACTCGTCTTAATTGTAAACTAGTAAAGAAAAAAACATAGAGTAAAAAACACATTTTATTTCTGGTTGCATTCCTATGTTCTCCTCCAACAGGTACCAAAATAAAGTGTATCCTAGAGTTCTTTAGCTTCTTTACATTGAAGGCCAGACCCTCAAAAAAATGAAAGTTCTTCATTTTGGGTCTTCTGAATCACTTACTCAATCTCACATTCACAGGGAGAATTTATAGGAAACAGATTAGCTTACCCTTGATGGTTAGCTTCAATATTTCGAAGAAAATTAAAAAGAGAATGAGAAGTTTAAGGATTTAAGGAAAGAAAAATTTATCTTGATATGTGTAAAGTGGCATGGAATGCAGAGAAGATATTCACTATTTATTAGACATGGACATAAGTAGATTGGAAGGAATATTAGGGAGATGATTAGGCAAACTGTTCACTTACCTTCACTCCACTTAATTCCATTATTCACAATCAAATTGCTTATAAAGTCAGAGCCTAACCCTTTTCATAATTCTATTCTCTTTCCTTATTTAACCCTGATATATTTTCTGTTTCTGCTCTTTACTTTCAGGATGATGGACCACCTCTAGAAAAAAGCCTTAGAGTGTTTCCCAACATTTCATAACTTAGAAGATGAAGATGATTCAACAAAAAGATAGTTAAAAGAAAAAGCCGGCTAAGTAAAATGAAAAGCAAAAAAATAGTGAAAAATCATAAAATGAGTCCTTCAAGACTTAGTGGTTGATCAACCAAACACAATGAAGGTGAGAGTCAAATAAACTGAGCACTGAAAAATTAAAATGAATGGTAAAAACAATAGCCTTGTTTGACTATGGAAGAGACAAAGTAGATCAGTGAGCAGAAAATACTCTTTTGATTACATTTGCTAAAGTGGGAAAAAGAAATTGCCATCAATTAGAGAGTGATATCAAATGAAAGTTTCTTCATCTTTTAAAGTGCAATTTTTACAACATCTTATTTTGCTTAAGGAATTGTACTGAAAAGATAGACATTTTTTAGTCAGGAAGAGAGAAAGTAACTTGAAAGACACTTGAGAAACATGCCTACTTAAGAAAGGCAAGAAATGACAAAGTCTTGTATACAGGTCGACTGGATAGTCTCAGATAGGAAACAGTTTGTTATACAAAAGAGGCCCTAAATGAAAGTAGATTTGTTGTCGTAGGATTAGGAAATTCCACTCTCACCTTTTCCTAGTTTTTTTTTTTTTTCAGTAAAATAAGAAACTCATAAGATGAGAGTGAGAAGATGTATATGTTTGAAGAAAAAGGATGCAAAAAATACAACTGAAAGAAAAAGAGATCATAAATCAGAGATATGTAGTAGATTTCCAGATGCAGCTGAGGACTCAATGTTTGTGATCAAGCATCTAAACTAACCAAAATCTACCCCTACTATGGGCTTTTCCCTCTCCATATTCAAGAATTCTATTCAGAGTAAAGAAAAGGTGGCAATTTGCATTCAACTACGGTTAAATCAGAGAAAGATAAATTGTGTGTGAAAATTGAAAAGATTACTAAAATAATTTGCAGTGGGCTAACCAAAAATAAATGAAATAAACTACATATGAATAAATATTAACTTTTGATATTCATCATGAAGTGAATAAAATCTTTTCAAATGAAGCAGTTTCAATAGATAGGATGGGAGGTGGGCAGAAATAAATAAATAAATACTGGAAAAAAATCCCTCAATAAATATAGACAGATATTGCCACATTATAAGGTCCACTGAGATACACTGAATAATAAATAATAAACTTTAAAAAGCATAGTAGCAAAGTGTTGTGAAATTTTACAATGTCCAAGTACAATTTCGAGTGGGGATAAAAAAGAAGTGATCTAAGGAAAATTATAGCCGGAGGCCAACCAAACATTCTGATCAGCAAAACGGTTGATGGAGACAGCAAAGCCATTAAAGTGGAAAGGCAGGAACATGGAGGGGTGTAAAGATAAGACAACTAAGCATATTATCAATATTTTATTATTAATTTAAAATATATTTATAGAAAAATTGAGCAGAGCCTATATTTGATATGTTATTGTTAACCAAATTCTATAGTTTATTCAGATTTCCTTAGCTTTTATCTAATTTTCTTATTCAGTTCAAGGATGCTATCTAGGATACCACATCACATTTATTTACAAAGTTGCCATCATCTCTTACCTGGATTACAGTAACAGCTTCATATCAAGTCTCTGCTTTCTCAACTTCTGTCACTGCTTCCATATTCTAATGCTTTTTGCATATTATTTAGTCTTTATCCGCTAGCAGATAAGCAGTATGACCACAGGTATATTTTGCTTATCAACATATCCCAAGTATTTGAAATATTGCATGACATTTAGTAGGTGTTCAACAAATTGTAGTATAAACATTTTCAGTACTAATTGTCTTTTTAAAAAATTTTATTGTATGTCAGCAAATTATAATTGTATATATGTATTGGTTACAAAATAATGTTATGATATATGTATACATGTAGACTAATTAAATCAAGCTAATTAATGTATCCACCACCTCAAATACTAAATTTTTTGTCGTGAGAAAATTTTAATTTTATTCTCAGCAATTTTGAAATATACATGATTATTAGCTGTATTCACCATGTTATGCAAATGATCTCAAAAGGTTTATCCTTCTTGTGCCACTGAAACTTTGTACCCTTTAACCAACATTTTCCCATTTCCCTAACTCTGCAGCCTCCAGAAACCACTATTCTATTCTGTTGCTATAAGTTCATTTGTTTTGTATTCCAATATTTTGAACTTTTTCTCAAATCCATGGTGTTTGTCGTGCAATTTGACACAGTGGCTCTAAAAACTTAAGGCAATAAGCTTACTGTGAATCACACGCACTTAGCCTGTTTTTGTTGTCTTCAACTTTCTACAAACTTCCACTACCATTAAAGCCCCTCTGCACGTATTCTTACTCTCTCTGCTTATCCTGGTCATCATTAATACTTATCTACAGGTTTACATTCAGTCAAGCTTTTCCCCCTGAATAAAATTAATTCACTCTTCTCTCCTACTTCTAGTCAACTCAGCCTAGCCAAAAATTTTGTTTAGATCTTCAGATATTGGTCCCTAATCTTTAAAAACAAATTAAGTCACACACTGGTACCTTGATAAAGCTCTGCTTATGAATATACTTTATTGTTTACATTTAAAATGTAAGCACTTTAAAATCATTGGTCCTTATAATTTTTCATGAGTCTTGCTGATGCGTGCATTTTGAAAAGTAGTGTCAGAATTGAACAAAACAGTAAATGTCTTAGACCATGAAAAATAATTGAGATGATTTTTACTTGATAAAATTAAAGGCCATTCAATAAAGGACAATCTTAGTACAATAAATCCCTATGCATTATTTTCTTGATATAAAATATGCCATCCCACTTGTAAAATTGCTATAATTAATGGCCCTCAGTTTTAGTATGTTCACACCTTCTAAGCCTGATAGACACTCTACTGGTGTGCATGAACTGTAGCCTCAGCATGTTTCTCATTTGCAGTGAAACTTTTGAAGATAATAGTATCTATTTTTGACAGGGCACAATGAAGCAGAAAATGGGCAGATGCCATGAACTGTATAATCAGTACAAGGAAGATTCTAGCTAGCATTCACAGTACCTCAGACAAACCAAGGAGTATTTAGTGGTTAACTCTAATGTAATGACAATCAAAAGCCATCTGTTGTGAAAGCCTGCAATACAAGGACCTGCTGCTGACCCACACACATTCTAAAAAGACATTTAGAGAGTTAAATTAATACATTATACTTTAAAGAAAGAAATAATTACTGATTGATATGGTTTGAATTTGTGTCCCTGCCCAAATCTCATGTCGAATTGTATTCCCCAGTGTTGGAAGCGGGCCTGGTGGGAGGTGATTGGATCATGGGGGTGGATTTCTCCCTTGTTGTTTCTGTGATAGCGACTGAGTTCTCATGAAATCTGGTTGTTGGAAAGTGTGCAGCACTTTTCCCTTCGCTCTATGTCTTCTTCTCAGCCATGAGAAGACGTGCCTGCCTCTCCTGTGACTTCCATCATTATTGTAGGTTTCCTGAGGCCTCCCCAGCCATACTTCCTGTGCAGTTGGAGAACTGTGAATCAATTAAACCTCTTTTCTCATAAATTACCCAGTCTCAGTTCTTTACAGCAATGTATGAACAGAATAATACATTGATAAGCTGCATAAAATTTATTTATTAATTTCACAGAATATAAGACATTGCAATGTAGCAACAGATGTCAACTTTCAAAGCATTTGTTTCAATGATTTATGTGTCAGTTGTTCAATTGACTTTAAAAGGATCATTTTTCATGTGTTTAAAAAAGTGTACATTTTTTCCCTCATAAAATTATCAGATTAAACCTTCTACTTTTAATATAGTATGCTTTAAACACTTAATAGGTAGCATATTTAACAAATGGTATTAATTTTAGAGTCTATAAAGCCAAAGTATTTTTACTGCGGTGGTTATTCTTGATTTTATTTTCATATTTTTAAAATCATTTTACATATTTCAACTAATGTGAGAAGTATCTAATTTTCCTTTATCAAATTCTAGCAAAGTAAAATGTCTCACAAGTAGTCAATGTTACTGTGTGATTTCAAAATTTAAATTTAAAATGTGAAAACGTTGTATGCAAAGATCAAAGCCTTTGAGATGATACATTGATTTTCAAACTAAATTGCCTGTATTAATTTCCCAGGACTGCTATAATAAACTTGGTGCCTTATAATAACAGACATGTATTATGTGAGAGGTGTCAGCAAGGCTAGTCTCCTTATAAAGGCACCTGGGAAGGAACGCTCCCATGCCTCTCTTCCAGCTTTTGGTGACATTAGGCATCTTTTTCTTGTAGATGTATCACTTTAATCCTTGGTCTTCACATAATACTCCTTGTATGTCTTCACACCATCTTCTTTTTGTATGTGTTTGTGTTCAAATGCCCCCATTTTAAAAGGACACCAGTCATATTGGTTTTAGACTCACTCTAATTAATTCATCTTAACCTTGTTAAATCTGCAAAGACCGTATTTTCAAATAAGTTACCTTCTGAGGGACTAGTGTTAGAACTTCAACCTATATTTTTCTGGATGACGCAGTTCAGCTGCGTGCCCATGTTGGAATATCATTTCTGCCACTGACCATTTCTGTAGCCTTAAGCAAGTTATACAGTCTCTGTGAGCCTCCATTTATGAGCTGTTATGAGGAATAAAGACTCTAATACAGGTATATGAAAAGTACTTAGAAATATTGGCTATTATGAGTCTTACCCAACAATAATGTCTGTTCTTTTCCAATGGCTTTTTACTATTCAGTATTTTAAATCAATATTTTACTCTTTGATAGTAGATAAAAATTTATGTTCAACACTTTTATCTGGCTTAGAAAATCTAAGTTACATTGGCTTGTCAGGAATTGCCAACAACAATGGCACAGTATATCCTGACCCAGTTCTCCACCAAATCAGCATAGATCCTGACTGTCAGGTCAGTCACCACTTCAGATTACTTCCTATCCTTTTAGTGTATATGGCCTTAGTCAGGTCACCCTAATGTTCTCGTAAGAATGAGACAAAATAACTAGAAATCTAGGTCACGTTTGCCTTTCTGTATTAGTCTTTTCTCACATTGCTATAAAGAACTACCTGAGACTAGGTAATTTATGAAGAAAAGAGGTTTAATTCACTCACAGTTTCACAGGCTTAACAGGAAGCATAACTATGAGGCCTCAGGAAACTTACAATTCTGGCAGAAGGCAAAATGGAAGATAGCATGTCTTACCATGGTGGAGCAGGAGAGAGAGACAGAGTAAAGGGACAAGTGCCATAAACTTTTACACCGTCAGACCTCATGAGAACTCACTATCATGAGGACAGCGTGGGAGAAATCCACACCTTAATCCAATCACCTCCCATCAGGTCCCTCCCCCCACATTGGAAATTACAATTCAACGTGAGATTTGGGTGGAGATACAGAATCAAACCATATCATTCTACCCCTGGCCCCTCCTAAATTTCATTTTCTTCTCACATTTCAAAACAAACCATGCCTTTCCAAAAGTCCCCAATGTCTTAACTCATTCTAACATTAGCACAAAAGTCTAAGTCTAAAGTCTCATCTGAGACAAGGCAAGTCCTTTCTGCCTATTAACCTATAAAATTAAAAACAAGTTAGTTATTTCCAAGATACAGTGGGAGTATATGCATTGGGTAAATGCTCCCCTTCCCAAAAGGGAGAAATTGGACAACTCAAGTGGGCTACAGGCCCCATGCAAGTCTGGAATCCAGCAGGGCAGTTATTCAATCTTAAAGCTTCAAAATAATCTTTTTTGACTCCATGTCTCACATGCAGACCACAGTTATGCCAAAGACCAACTCCCAAGGCCTTGTGCAACTCTGCCTCTGTGGCTCTGCAGGGTACAGCCTGTGCAGCTCATTCACAGGCTGGTGTTGAGTGCCTGTGGCATTTCCAGGTGCATGGTACAAGCTGTTGATGGGTCTACCATTCCAGGGTCTGGAGGACAGTGACCCTCTCACAGCTCCACTAGGCAGTATCCCAGTGGGGACTCTGTGTGGGGGCTACCACCCCACATTTCCCTTATGCACTGTCCTAGTAGAGGTTCTCCATGAGGGCTCTGCCCCTGCAGCAGACTTTTGCTTGGACATCCAGGCATTTTCATACATCCTATGATATCTAAGTGGTAGTTCTCAAACCTCAACTCTTGCCTTCTGCACAGACACAGGCCCAACACCACAAAGAATCTGCCAAGGCTTGGGGCTTGGACCATCTGAAGACATGACACAAGCTGTACTTTGGCTCCTTTTAGCCATGGCTGGAGCTGGAGCAGCTGAGACGCTGGATGCCATGTCCCAAGGCTGCACCAAGCAACTGGGCCCTGGGTCTGACCTACAAAATCATTTTTCCCTCCTATTCTTCTGGGTCTGTGATGGGAGGGGCTGCCATGAAGGTCTCTGAAATGCCCTGGATACATTTTCCCATTGTCTTGGCTATTAACATTCGGCTCCTTGTTACTCATGCAAATTTCTGCAGCTGCCATGAATTTCTCCTCAGAAAATGGGTTTTTCTTTTCTACTACATGATCAAGCTGCAAATTTTCCAAACTTTTATGCTCTGCTTTCATTTTAAATATAAGATCCAGTTTCAGATAATCTCTTTGTTTACGCATCTGAGTGTACATTTTCAGAAACAGTCAGGTAAACATCGTAAATGCTTTGTTACTTAAAAATTACCTCCACCAGATATCCTAAATCATCTCGCTCAAGTTCAAAGTTCCATAGGTCTCTAGGACAGGGGCATAATACACCCAGTCTTTTTTGCTGAAGCATAGCAAGAGTGATCTTTACTCCAGTTCCCAAGAAGTTCCTCATCTCCCTCTGAGACCACCTCAGCCTGGACTTCATTGCCCATATCACTATCAGCACTTTGGCCAAAATCATTCAACAAGTCTCTAGGACATTCCAGATTTTCCCACATCTTCCTATCTTCTTCTGAGCCCTGCAAACAATTTCAACCTCTGCTCATTACCCAATTCCAAAGTTGCTTCCACATTTTCAAATATCTCCTGGTACCAATTTTCTGTATTAATTCATTCTCACACTGCTATAAAGAACTACCTGAGACTGAGCAATTTATAAAGAAAAGAGGTTTAATCGACTCAAAGTTTTGAAGTTTTGCAGGAAGCATGAACACAAGGCCTAAGGAAACTTAGAATCATGGCAGAAGGTGGAGGGAAAGCAAGCATTTCTTTTTTTTTTTTTTTTTTTTGAGACGGAGTCTCGCTTTATTCCCCAGGCTGGAGTGCAGTGGCGCAATCTCTGCTCACCGCAAGCTCCGCCTCCCAGGTTCACGCCATTCTCCTGCCTCAGCCTCTGGAGTAGCTGGGACTACAGGCACCTGCCACCACGCTCGGCTAATTTATTTCTATTTTTAGTAGAGACGGGGTTTCACTGTGTTAGCCAGGATGGTCTCAACATCCTGACCTCGTGACCTGCCCTCCTCAGCCTCCCAAAGTGTTGGGATTATAAGCGTGAGCCACTGTGCCCGGCCAGGGGAAGCAAGCATTTCTTACCATGGTGGAGCATGAGAGAAAGAGAGAGCAAAGGCCAAAGTGCCACACACTTTTAAACCATCAACTCTTTTGAGAACTCACTCACTATCATGAGAACAACATGAGAGTATTCTGCCCTCATGATCTAATCACCTCCCACCAGGTCCTGCCCTCAACATTGGGAATTCAAATTCGACACGAGATTTGGATTGAGACATAGAGCCAAACCATATTACTCTTTCAGAAATGTCATTACCACTATGAAAATGGACCAACACAAACGAAGTTTGGAAAGATACTTCTTACAGTCAAGAATTATACTAAAACCATATAAAAATATTAAATTATGAGATATAAAAATAACATGATATAATTTTAATCACTTTTAATAAGAGTCTTCCATAAAGAATCAAAAAAGTGGATACATTCTTTAAGGTAATTGAACCAATAAAACAAATCTTCCCAGTTTAAGAAGAGCATAAACTATTGAAATACCCACATTAAATTGAAATTTATTAAAGTTTCTAAAATGTCCCACAGTAACAAAACATCTTTAAATTGACCTGAGTTAAATGTTTATCCTCGGGAGAAGATTTTGTTCGTTTCTTTGAAAACAATCTAGTAACATCCCTTTAATATCAATTTGAGAAGTGCTATATATATACCTTTGAAATTATACTTCCTATATGAAATTTTGTATTCTTTCCTAACCCTTCTCCACCATTCCAATTTATAACTTTCAAAAGTTAAAATTATGGCTGACGTAATATTAAAATGAACTTGTGTCGAAACTTTTTCTTTTCAATGGGGTGATCAGAGAACATCAAATCTAATTCGAGGAAAATTCAAGGGGAACTACAGAAAAAAATGCTGGAATAAGCTTGCTGCCTTACACACAAAACTACTTAGTGTCCCATGAATTTGGGGGTTATATTTTCTATTGAACAGTAATAATGTCCTTCCACATATGAATGCAATAAAGAGCATTAACACACTATTTTTTCTACTTACCAGTTACTTTCCTCAATATAAAGTAAAATATATGGACAAAGAGTTACTTGTTAACATTGATTATGCTGATACTGTGTCCAGAATTGGTGGGTTCTTGGTCTCGCTGACCTCAAGAATGAAGGCATGGACCCTCACAGTGAGTCTTACAGTTCTTAAATGTGGTGTGTCTGGAGTTTCTTCTTACTGGTGGGTTCGTGGTCTCACTGACTTCAGAAGTGAAGCTGCAGACCTTCGCAGTGAGCGTTACAGCTCTTAAAAGCGGCGCATCTGAACTTCTTCGTTCCTTCCCGTGGGTTCATGGTCTCGCTGGCCTCAGGAGTGAAGCTGCAGCCCTTCATGGTTAGTGTTACAGCTCACAGGTGGACCCAAAAAGTGAGCAGCAGCAAAATTCATTGCAAAGAGCAAAAGAACAAATCTACCACAGCATGGAAGATCTACCACAGCATGGAAGGAGACCCGACTGGGTTGCCTCTGCTGGCTTGGGCAGCCTGCTTTTATTCCTTTATCTGGCCCCACCCACATGCTGCTGATTGGTCCATTTTACAGAGAGCTGATTGGTCCATTTTACAGAGAGCTGATTGGCCTGTTTTGACAGAGTGCTGATTGGTGCATTTACAATCCCTGAGCTAGACACAGAGTGCTGATTGGTGCATTTACAATCCCCTAGCTAGAAATAAAAGTTCTGCAAGTCCCCACCAGGCTAGATACAGAGTGCTGATTGGTGTATCCACGAACCCTGAGCTAGACACAGAGTGCTGATTGGTGCATATACAATTCTCCAGCTGGACATAAAACTTCTCCAAATCCCCACCCAACTCAGGAGCCCAGCTGGCTTTGCTTGGTGGATCCCGCTCCGGGGCTGTGGGTGGAGCTGCCTGCCAGTCCTGTGCCGCGTTCCCGCACTCTTCAGACCTTGGGTAGTTGATGGGACCTGGAGCCGCGGAGCAGGGGGCGGAGCAGGGGGTGGCGCCCGTAGGGGAGGCTCCGGCCGCGCGGGAGCCCACCACGGGGCGGGGGGCGCTGGGCATGGCGGGCTGCGGGTCCTCAGCCCAGCCAAGCGGAGGTGGCTGAGGCCCGGGGCGAGAATTCGAGCGCGGCGTGGGCGGGCCGGCAGTGCTGGGGGACCTGGCGCACCCTCTGCAGCTGCTGGCCCGGGTGCTAAACCCCTCACTGCCCGGGGCCAGCGGCGCCAGCCGGCCACTCCAAGTGCGGGCCCGCGGAGCCTGCACCCACCCAGAACTCGCGCTGGCTCGCGAGCGCTAGGCGCAGCCCCAGTTCCCGCCCTAGTCTCTCCCTCCACATCTCCCCTCAAGCAGAGGGAGCCGGTGCCGGCCTCGGCCAGGCCCAGAGAGGGCTCCCACAGTGCAGCAGCGGGCTGAAGGGCGGAAGGGCTCCTCAAGCGTGGCCAGAGTGGACACCGGGGCCAAGGAGGCGCCGCGAGCGAGCTAGGGCTGCTAGCATGTTGTCACCTCTCAATATGACAATGCAAATATTAGTTACAAATTATCAAATGGGTGTTTTATTATATTTACCTGGGAATAGACTTTAAAGTTTTACAAACAAATATCCAAATACAAACAAGAAATAAGGCGGCCTTGGTATATAAAACTATTCATTTATTGATTCATTAAAATCCTGTATCTTTCCTGTGATTCAGTATGGACATTGGATTACATATGACTTTATGTTCCAAGTATGCATGTGTCTAACATCAATTACAACAGTTTACGTACATGAAGAGTTCAATGTAAACAGGCATGTTTGTAATTAAACTTATAAGCAAAAAAAAAGAAAAATCTTTCAACTTGTTTAAAATAGGCAGTCTAAAATTGCTTTTAGGTTTTATTCTCTAATATACATAAAATTAAAAAAACTGGTTTCTAGTCTACAAATATGCATTGATTATAATCTTTTATTATGAGGCTTAATTTATTTCCAGTAGATATCAGAAGACAGAAGGAATGGAGATTAATGATAATGATAATACAGATTATCTTAGTCATTGTTAAACAAGTATTCCTAGGTATACACATATAAGTAAAACCAAGTTTTTGGAAAAAAAAGATATATTGCAATACAGTGATAATATGCTGCTGTTACATATGAATCATGTTATTCTTTAATATATTCTGGGTGAGTTCTCTTACTTTCTATTTATTTTTTTATAATTACAGGTGCAGAGAAAAGTCAGTGGGTTCAGCCTTGCCAGATAAAAAGTAATCAAAGGTAAAAATGAATCAAGATTACTTTTGCATAAACACGTCTTCTTTAAATCAACCTGATCTCTCTTTGAAACGTAATATCTCATATGAATTTAAACATCTTTTTTCTTGCATTCTTCTTTTCATAAACAAAGGAGTTTTTAAAAAGTTTCTAGTAGCAATTCTTTGATATATAGGGTCTATTCTCTTCAAAAATTAAAGTACATAAATAAATTACAAATTTAGGTTATAAATTTAATAAATTTGTCTTCTACTTGTTGGGAAAATATTGAGAATAATCAAAAATTAAGGAATAAATCTGAAAATTATAAGCATAGATATTGTGAAGCAGTACAAACAAAACATAAAAACTTTAGATAATTTAGTCTAAAAATTAACTCTTTTCTCTGAATTTAAAGATGTTAGAACACATTTGCTAAACTAAATGAAGAAGATTAATTGAAAACCTATCTAAAGTGGATTTTTTAATAATTTGGAAAATAGCACATGATACCTTATGGCTGGTATATAGCTACACTGACACATTTAAGCCTATTTTGGGAAAAATAAACCAAAAATAGGATATTGATCTATGGCTTAAAGACGTTGGATATAAAGAGACAATTATGCAGCTAAAAACACATGGGTATTTATTATTTGTGAAGTGATTTTATTTCAGAATTGAAGTTTATGAAAATGGCATATCACTTTTATTTAATTAGTTATACTTTACCAACTTTCATTGTGACAGTTTTTCTTCAAATTGTTTCCATAGAAATTGCAAAACATAAATAAAAATACATTTAGTATAACTAAAATTCCTACACATGTTTAAGTATGTTCTTTTAAATACTTTATTTTTAAATAAAATTACATATATTTATCATGTGCCGACATAATGTTTTGAAATACATACACGTTGTTGAAGGCCTAAATTGTGCTCACTGACATATGCATTACCTGATATACTCATCTTTTGTGTGCGTGTGTGTTTGTGTTTGGTGAAATTTACTCTAGTAGTGATTTTCAAGTATACAATGCATTGTAATTGACTGTAGTTGCCATGTTGTCCAATATATCTTTGAATTTATACTTCTTATATGACTGACATTTTGTATTCTTTCCTACCCTTCTCCCCCAGTTCTTAGTAACCAGCATTATACTCTATCCTTTTGTGAGTGAAACTTTTAAAAATTCCACATATATGTGAATTAGCCTTTCTGTGCCTAGCTCATTTTACATAACATGATGTCCTCCGGGTTCATCCATGTTGTAACAAATGATAGAATTTCTTTCTTTTATAAAGTGAGATAGTATTTCGTTGTGTATATGTACCACATTTTATCCTATGATAGATACTTAGATTGACTCCATTTCTTGGCTACTATGAATAATGTTGCAATGAGTATTTCTTTAAAATACTGATTTCATTTCCTTTGGATATATACCCAGTATTTGGATTGCTGGATTATATGTTAGCTCTGTTTTTAAGTTTTGAGGAACTTCCTTGCAGTTTTCCATAATAGCTTTACTAATTTACATTGTCACCAACAATATGCAAGTGTTCCCTTTTCTCCACATCCTTGCCAGTACTTTTTATCTTTCATCTGATTATAAAAAACATTGTAACAGGGTGAGATAATATTGTGATTTTAATTAGCTTTTCTCTGATGATTAGTGAGGGTGAGCATTTTTTTATACACATATTTACCATTTATGTGTCTTGTTTTGAGAAAAATCTTTTCAACTCCTTTGCCCATTTTTGTAATTGTGTTGTTTGTTTTCTCTCTGTATAGTTGTTTGAGTTCCTTACATATTCAGGATATTAACCCACTGTCAGATGTATAGTTTGCAAATATATTTTCCCATTATATAGGTTGTCTCTTCACTTTGCTGATTGTTTCCTTAGCTGCGCAGTAAGGTTTTAGTTTCTATAATCTCATTTGTAGGTTTTTTTTATTTTGTTGTCTGTATTTTTTGGGTTATATCCAAAAAATAATTTCCCAGACCAACACCATGGATCTTTTCCCCTGTTTTCTTCTAGTAGTTTTATGGTTTCAGGTCATATGTTTAGGGATTTAATCTATTTTGAGTTGATTTGTATATGGGGTGTGAGATTAGGGCTTAATTTCATTCTCTGCATGTGGATATCCAGTTTTCTCAAAACCATTTATTAAAGAAAATGTCCTTCCTCTATGGTTTGTTCTTGGCACCTTTGTCTAAAATCAATTGACAACAAATGTGTGGATTTATTTCTGGGTTCTCTATTCTGTTCTATTGGTCTACATGTATGCTTTTGTGCCATTACTATGCTGTTTTGATTACCATAGCTTCATAGTATATTTTGAAGTTAGGTAGTATGACACCTTCAGCTTTTTTCTTTTTGCTCAAGCTTTGGTTACTTAAATATGGAGAAAGTAGTATGTTCCATTCTCCCTCCATATGAAATATGTTCTTATTCTGGTGCTTAAAAGGACCATTCCCTTTAAAATAAAGCATGATCCATGGACTGTCAGCAGGAATATCAGCTGTTAGTGTGAGAGAAAGGCAAAATTTCAAGTCCCACCTCACGTTTTTAAATCAGAATCTAAATGTTAACAAGATGGCCAGTGGTACCTATGTGCATTAAATTTTGAGCAGAGCTGGAATTTGCAATAAGTTAAACTGTTGCTCTCACAAGCATCATTTTTTAAACTCTTGATTTTCAATTCTTCATTTTGTGGTGACAATGACAAAAAAGACTTGCAGTTTAACTGTGAGCCTTGCAACATACTTATACATTAATTGATAAGAATTTATTATTATACCCCGTTTGGCTTTTTTTAGTTTCAAACCAGTCTCACTATATGAAAAAAACATGGGGTATCTGCATAATAACTATAAACTAGTTTGTGATTAAAATAAGACAATAAAAATAATCTACAGAACAATATCAAAGTTGAGAAAGCGTGAGTGAAAAAAAGTGCTCTGAGGTTTTGAAGTTTGAGATTTCATTAGTGATTAAATTAAACGTTTCTTTTTTCAGTGTAATACTTTATTTTCTATTGTATTAAACAAACGCCAGGAAAAACATTATACATTTTAATAATTTAAGTTCTTATGTTGACATTTTTGAGTTAACCAATAAAGTAATATCAATAATTATCCAATTAGTTAACACAGAAATACACACACACACACATACACAAAGATTTCAGAGAAAAATCAACTAACCCAAATGAAGAAAGGATAAGAAAGAGAAAAAAAATCAAAGAAACAGAAAGTGAATGCTAAGTAAAAAGCATAAAATAAAATGGTTGGAAAGTCCAAATAATAGTAATTAAGACAGATATAAATGGCTAACAATACAATTAAAAAGAACTTTGCAAAATCCAGCTATTTTAAAGGGACACCTAAAAAAGGAATAAGGATCAAAGATAGCCCAGGAAAACTTTAAGCACATAAGTGAATGTAGCTATTTCAATATTAGATGAAGCCTTAGAAGAAAGGTCCTTAAAAATAATGAAACATTTAATTCAGCAGGTAGATATTACAAATATAAATTTTTATGAACTTACATGCAAAAGCTCAGAGAGTAAGGTTGCTGTTAACCTAAGAAGAGCTGCCCAAGTTCTTTGAAGGATGGAAAAACAAATAAACAAATAATAACAAGAATACATTATATTTTTATGACTGAAAGGTGGTACCTGGTTTACTTAGAACAGCATGCACAGCTAGCAGACATAGGGGACAGTTCAGATTATCAACAAAGTAGATGAGCTAATGCATATAGCTGGAATAGATTTTAAAGCTTTTGTGGATCAAAGACAGACCAGCCAATGGGCTGATACATGGCTTTTACCTGGAATTAATGCAGAGAATTACGGAAACAAGATAAACCAAGATGAAGATAAGATTTGGGGAAATGTCTGAGGTCATGAATCTCTGAAATTAATAAAGGGAAAGAATTTATGAGGCTATGATTTTGTATTTTGTATCTGAACTATATATACTGTTTTTCTGTCAGTCTTTGTGTTTTATGAAGATATTCTGGGTAGTCATCACATGGACATGCTGATTAGGATGCATTCATTGACACCTCTGTTTTTGGACTCTATAAAGGTCAGCCAAACATATGGCCCCAAACAGCTTATATTCCTAAATCTTGCCAAGTTTGGAAAATTGAACCTACATTGTATATCAGAAAAAGACAATTTTATTCAGCAACTCATAAGTATTTTGTACAGACCAGGGTACTGTACAATATTATCTTCTAACTTAATAGCCCAGTTTTCTCTGTGGAAGCCAGGTATGCTTAGAGTATTACAGTGATGCCAGCAACTGAGGTTTAAACATGAAAAAGGTTGATATTGTTTCAAAAATGTCTAACATCGTAACAGGACTGAAATAAGTCATGCCTAGTTGGAAGTGTATGCAGCCTTCGATCTTGCTAATGCATCTTTATTAGTTCTCTTCAGTTGCCTTCATTAGTCCTCTTCAGTTTGCCTTCACTTGGCAAAGCATATATTATGTGTTTTCAGTCTCCTGTGTGTCGAGCTAATCCTAGCTCAATGAAAAATGTTGATAACATGCAAATATTTTATTATAATGGTGATATTTTGCTAAGGGTTTACATTGAAAATACATATTTACATATTACTTTGATTACTACCAAAAGAACTAGAATGAAGACAAAATCAGTGGTTTAGCCTCTCCCAGCCTATGTTAAGCTCTATGTATGCTGAAAGACACAGCCTATTAAGAACAAACTTTTCATCTACAGTTACCAACCACAAACAAGAATTTTCAACTGGAATCTTACATCTGGGAATTTTACTGTGAACTCTATCCTAAGTCATTAGCTAACTACCAAAATTGAGTGCTTCATACAAGTAAAGCACAAAAGCAGTGAAAATACAATAAAACAAGCCTTGCCATGAAAACTGCTACCTTCTCAAGACTCCACAGAATTAGAAAAACATCTGTAGCTAATTTCACATCTTGGTTGAACGTTTGGTAAAAAAATGCTAAGGAGACTGAACACTGAAATTTCTTCAACTGTTAGGTATAAGTGGGTAGCCTATTTGTGGGCTCAAAGGGAAACAAATTATTTTACTGTCTTATTGATAAAACAAAAACAAAACAAACGTCATGTCCCTTCAACACTACATTATTATCTTATAACAAGTCTTTTCTGAAACAAGCTTAAGATTGAACAATACCTCAGATTTTCACTAAAGAAATGACACTTCAAATTACGAAATAATTCTTATCCAAAACAACTTAGCCATTTTTATGGCCATGTGTCTCTCCACCCATTATACCCAGAGACTTACAGTATTAGTTATTACACTGCTGATAAAGACATACCCGAGACTGGGCAATTTACAAAAGAAAGAGGTTTAAGTTTAACTGGACTCACAGTTCCATGTGGCTGGGGAGGCCTCACAATCATGGCAGAAAGCAAGAAGGAACAAGTCACATCTTACGTGGATGGTGGGAGGCAAAGAGAGAGCATGTATAGGGAAACTCTCATTTTTAAAACCATCAGATCTTTTGAGACATATTCAGTATCACGAGAACAGCACAAGACAGACCCACCCCCATGATTCAGTTACCTCCTACGTGGTTCTTTCCATAATATGTGAAAATTGTGGGAGTTACAATTCAAGATGAGATTTGGGTGGGGACACGGCCAAAGCGTATCACTTACTGTTTTATTAAAACTTAAATTTTTGGCTCAAGTTGCACCTTTATTTACAAGACTCATCTATTGAAAAGAAAACATGGATAAATACAAATTTGTGTCAAGCTGTGTAATAACATCATGATGCTAAACTACTGCTAACATATAACACATACTATCCCTAAGCACTGGAATGGGACTTGTGTGCAATTCTTAGCCGTAGAGTGTACAACCATGAGTTAAATGAAATATATTTTACTTGGATTTATAGGCCATAGTAATTATTTACTATATAATTAGGTCATTGAGGCCTCTAATACTGGGTGATAAACACACACCGACATAAGGTACTTCCTTATGAAAACAGGTATGACAATTTAATCATAAACTTATTTATGCTATGTAGGAACATATCCATAGGAAGCAACCCTATCAAGAGTAAGGCAGACAGCTTGCATGTAGTCACCATACTTTCTTCTCCAAAGAAGAGCTCTCCAGGGCAAGCTGACTCAGCCATTCTTAAGTACCTAAACATGGTTATATTTCCCTCTGACTTTGAAACAGAGCCAATTGTCCCATAGAACTAATGTTTATTGTTTTCTGATAAATGTAGATATTGACTTCCTGGTCTTAAAGCTTGAAACTTGTATCTGTCTTATCTGAGTTCCTTCCTCAGGAAACTGACCATCAAGCCTCCCAGATGGTATCAGGGAACTGAAACTCACCAGATCCTTGAATCTGGACAATGAGATGTCAGACCCCTCACCCATCACGATTGCCTAACTGACCACCTCCTTCCTGTTGGCTAACTTATCTTCTTTAACCCTCCTTAATTCCTGTTTTCCCACACTTAAGTTACAATCCTTCCCTGCTAAATCAACCCCCAATTGTAGTCAGTTGGGGAGATGCATTTGAGACTGATCTCCCATTCTCCTTGGCTGCAGCACTTGAATAAAGCATGTCAATACCCATTGTCTTAGTGATTGGCTTTCTGTGGGGAGACCAACAGGACCTAGACTGAACTCCTGGTGTTTAGGTGACAACTTATCTGAATCTATACACATCTAGTATTCAAGGGATTAGAAACAAGAAGTATTTCATCAGGAACAGTCACAAGACTCTCTCTTTTTCAAATAGCATGCATTTTCAGAAGACTGGTGCGTTGTTCTCCCTTTCTATTGCACCTGGTTTCACTGCAGCATACAGATAGACTGCTTTGTAGAGCTAATATTGAGGATAACAGGATAGATGACCTGAGACACTGACTTTCATTCAGATGGTACCAGGGCCTTATAGTCATTTCCTAGGATTGCCACAACAAACTACCACAAACTGGCTGGCTTATAAAACTCATACATTTACTTTCTCACATTTCTAGAGGCTAGAAGTCTGAAATCAAGTTGTGAGTAAGACTATGCACTGTCGTCAAGCTTCTATAGGTTGTCAGTAATCTTTGGCATTCCTTGGTTTGCAGCTGCATAATTCCAATCTGTTTCCATAGTCATATGGCCATCTTCCATCTGTGTATTTGTTTTCATATGTGGTTCCCTTTTCTGTGTTTCTGTTTGTGTATCTCTTCTCCTCTTATGAGGACACCAGTCATGCTGGATGAAAGACATACCCTACTCAAGTATGACCCCATTTAAGTTACATCTAGTTATATCTCAAAAGGCACTATTCTAAATAAGGTCACCTTAACAGGTACTAGTGAGTAGGACTTCAGCATACCTTTCTGAGGAACTCAATTGAATGCACCACAGTGCTCTCTCCACTAACATGAGTACATCCATTATAAAAATAGGTTGACTATGGAGAATTGATAGAGCTCATCACTTTGAAAAATCAGTGCTCATACAGGCATACCTCAGAGATAATGTGGGTTCAGTTCCAGACCACTGCAATAAAGCAAATAGGACAATAAAACTAGTCCTACAATATTTTTGGTATCCCATTGCATATAAAAGTTAAGTTTACACTGTACTATAGTTTATTGAGTGTGCAGCATAATTATATCTACATTAAAAGTGTACACACCTTAATTTAAAAATACCTTATTTCTAAAAAATGCTAATGATCATGTGAGCCTTCAACAAGTCATAATCTTTTTGCTGGTGGAGGGTCTTGCCTTTCTGTTAATGGCTGCTGATTGATTAGAACGGTGGTTGCTAAAGGTTGAGGTGGCTATGACAATTTCTTAAAATAAGTTAACAATGAAGTTTGCCTCATGGATGGACTTTTTCTTTCATAAAAGTTTTCTCTGTAGCCTGTGATGCTGTTTGGTAGCATTTTACCCCCAGTAGAACTTCTTTCAAAATTAGAGATAATTCTCTCAAATTCTCTTGCTATTTATCAACTAAGTTTATATAGTATTCTAAAGCCTTTGTTGTCGTTTCCACAATGTTCACAGGATCTTCAGCAGGAGTAGATTCCATCTGAAGAAACCACTTGCTTTTTCATCCATAAGAAACAACTCCTTATCCTTTAAATTTTTACCATAAGACTACAGTAATTCGTATCTTCAAGTTTCACTTCTAATTCTAGTTCTCTTGCTATTATCACCACATCTGAAGTTACTTCTTCCACTGAATTCTTGAACCCTTCAAAATCATCCATGATAGTTGGAGTTAACTTCTGTACTCCTGTTAGTGTTGATATTTTGACCTTGCCACACATTATAAATACTCTTAATTGCATCTAGAATGGGGAATTCTTTCCAGAAGGTTCTCAATTTACCTTGTCAAAATCCATCAGAGTAATCTAGTCTAGAGCAGGTATAGCCTTAGAAAATGCATTTCTTAGATAATAAGACCTGAAAGTCAAAATTACTGCTTGATGCATGGGTTAGAGCGTAGATGTTGTGTTAGCAGGCATAAAAACAGCATTGATCTTGTACATCTCCAGCAGAGCTTTTGGGTGAGGAGGTGTATTTTCAATGAACAGTAATAATTTGAAAGGATTCTTTTTTTCTGAGCAGTAAGTCTCAACAGTGGGCTTAAAATATTCAATAACTATGCTTGAAACAGATGTGCTGTCATCCAGGCTTTGTTGCTCAATTTTTAGAGCACAGGAAGAGGAGATTTAGCACAATTCTTAAAGACCATATGATTTTCATAATGAGCTAACACTGGCTTCAGCTGAATGGCCCCAGCTGCATTAGCCACTAACAAGAGAGCCAGCCTGTCCTTTGAAGCTTTGAAGTCAGGCATTAACTCCTCCTATCTAGCTATGAAAGTCTTAGATGGCATCTTCTTCCACTACAAGGTTGTTTCATGTACAATAAAAATTTGTTGTTTAGTGTAAACAACTCCTTGAATTATTTTAGCTAAATCTTCTGGATAACTTGTTGCAGCTTCTACATCACCACTTGTTGGTTCATCTTGCACTTTTATGTTTTGGGGACAACTGATTTTTTAAAAACTCATGAACTAACCTCTGTTCACTTCAGACTATTCTTCTGCAGCTTCTTCACCCCTCTCAGCATTTATAGAATTGAAGAGAGTTAGTGTCTTGCATTGGATTAGATTTGGGCTTAAGGGAATATTGTGGCTGGTTTTATTTTCTAAATAGGTAACTAAAACTTTCTCCATATCAGCAATAAGGCTGTTTTGCCTTCTTATCATATGTGTGCTTACAGAAATTACACTTTCAATTTCCTTCAATAACTTTTCCTTTGGGCTAACTGGCACAAGAGGCCTAGCTTTTGGCCTAGATCAGTTGTTGACATGCCTTCCTCATTAAGCTTAATCATTTCTAGATTTGTATTTACAGTGACAGACATGTGACTCTTCCTTTCATTTGAACACTTAAGAGGCCATTGAAGGGTTGATAATTGGCCTAATGTCAACAAAGTTGTTCTCAGAAAATCAGGGAGACCCAAGGAGGGAAAGAGTGATGAGGACAGCCCATCTGAGGAACAGCCAGAACAAACACATTCACAGATGAAATTCAACCTCTTATATGGGCACGGTTCCTGGTACTCTCAAACAATTACAATAGTAACCTCAAAAATCACTGATCACAGATCACCATAACAGATATAATAATAAAAGTTTAAAATATTACAAGAATTACCAAAATGTGACACAGATGCACAAAGCGAGCAATGGGAAAATGTCACTGATAGGCATGCTCAACATAGAGTTGCCACAAACCTTCAATTTGTTTAAAAAAAAAAATCACACTATGTGCTAAATGGAATACAGCAAAGCACAATAAAATGAGGCATACCTGTAACTTAAATCACTATTTTTTGTTGCTAATATTATCATAATGTTTTCAGATTTCATATGTAAGTAATTTTTTTTTTTTTTTGAGACGGAGTCTCACTCTGTTGCCAGGCTGGAGTGCAGTAGTGCGATCTCAGCTCACTACAACCTCTGCCTCCCAGGTTCAAGTGATTCCCCTTCCTCAGCCTCCCGAGTAATTGGGACTACAGGTGCGTGCCATCATGCCCAGCTAATTTTTTTTGTATTTTTAGTAGAGATGGTGTTTCATCATGTTGGCCAGGATGGTCTCAATCTCATGACCTTGTGATCCACCTGCCTTGGCCTCCCAAAGTGCTAGGATTACAGGTGTGAGCCACCGAGCCCAGCGATAATTTTTTTTTTAAACAATCTTGCTCTGTCGCCCAGGCTCAAGTGCAGTGGGGCAATCTTGGGTCACTGTAGCCTCCACCTCCCAGGTTGAAGTGATTCTCCTGCCTCAGCCTCCTGAGTAGCTGGAATTAACAGGCACCCGCCACCATGCCCAGATAATTTTTGTGTTTTCAGTAAAGATAGGATTTCATCATGGTGGCCAGGCTGGTGTTGAACTAGGCCTCAAGTGATAGGCCAGCCTTGGCTTCCCCAGGTGTTGGGATTACAAGCATGAGTCACCGCACCTGGCCCTAATATAAGTAATTGAACAATAAAAGCTAGTTTAAACTTTAAGGTATATTAATACAAAGAAATTCCATCCTAGCTCTACTTTTGTTGCCTCTATTGTATATAGTAGTAGAGTGTAGCAATGCAAATAAAAAGTTATATATGTATTAAGGTAAAAATAAATAAAGTCTCCCTTTGAAATGCTTTATTTTAAATGATGTGCCATCTTACAAATATTCAATAGTATAGGACTTAGAAGCTTAGTCACTGAAAAAAAACTTATTTAGGTCTAACATTTGGGCCTACTTCTGTTTCTTTCCTCCATATTCCAAAGCCTGAGATTTGTGCAGGTCTTTAAATGTAGAGAATGAAGTATGTGAACTTTTACTGTGCATTTCCTTTGATGAGACAGAACATATCAGAGGCTAAATCAATAGAAAACTTGTATCATAAGTACTTTATAAATATTTTTAAAATAAGTTCTAAACCTGGGATTATATTGGCTAGGAAATAAGAAACTAAAACCTTACATTGATTTAATGTTTCTCTCTGAACCTGTAACTGAAACGTGATAGAAGTTTACTATTATTTCTTATGAAGGCCCTGTTTTCTCTTTACCTCAAATTAAGCACTAAACTATAATTACAGATAGCTTTTGTTTTTAATTAAAGAGTTAATGTTACTGATCAAGCATCATGACAGAGATTGCACACTAGATTTTCTGAGTGATTTCATACACAAAGTCTTAATTGATAACATCTAATCTCTTTTTACTTTAGTATCATCAATGTAATTCATATAGGCATGGCAATTAGATGCTAAATGTGTGATTAAAGCAGTCAGTACATTTTATCAAATTTAAAAGAAAATTCCTTAAATCACCATGACGTGTATGTAAGCATGTCTGTTTGTATATATGTGTATCCATTTTCTTCACTATTGTCAACATAGCTAGATTTATTCTTTATTCATTAGGTTGTGCATTAGGTAAAGTACATGATATTAAATCCATGTTGCATGAAAATGCCAAACTCATAGGCAATTTGTCAAGATGCCCAATTTAGAAGAAGGTTATAGGAAAAAATATTGTCAAAGCAATTGCAACATTTATGTTTCCATTGGCCAAAGGTCAAACAGCCATTGAAATGTTTGGGACACAGATTAATGATCATTATTTAAATATTTCCTCCTCTCCAGCTTCACATTTTTAATATGCATGTAATTACATATTCACATTTAAAATATTATTAAAATATAATGTTATTAAATATAAGATTTTATACTATAAAATATTAAAATATTATAAAATATTTTAAATTATAAAATAAAGTGTTATTAAAATATAACATTATATATAAATATATAAAATATAATAATATTATATATAAAGAAACCCAAGCACAGACATGCACAACCAAAGTTAATCATGTAAAATATATGTCAAATGAAATAGAGAAAATAAACCACTGAGTTTTAGTCCACTTCTGTCTGCTATATGTCATCCTCTTCATCAGTTAGGCCCAACATTGTGGAATACAGCAATCATTTATAGAACTTAAAGTTTGAAGTTACCTAATATTATGTGTAGGTATTAGGTGTAAAATAGAAATATAATATCATACACAAAATATATTTTGAAAAGGTTGCTATATTAACATGAGCATTTAGAATTTAAAGTGTACTATATTTCCTATGGATACTTGATTATGCAGAGTCTGTATATCCAGTCTCTGTACAAATTAGTATAAAAGCCAAAAAGCTAATTATGTTTTAATTTAATATAACCTTTCTCCTAATTCATAATTCAACCATGCAACTGCATATAGTATTGAATTTCATATTATTTGTGCTACTTTTATTATATAACCTAATGTTAAATTAGACACATATTACATAATTGAAAATATTTAATGAAATAAATATTTAAATAAGACTTATGAATTAAATCCAGCTTTTGGAAATTTCCTCAAACTCCTTCACTAAAATAATGGTCTTATTTTAGTGACCGTTGGAAAAATCCCCATGGGAAGTTTTCTTTATTGTGTTCATATATATTTGGATGATGATACCAGTTTAATGTAAATGAATGATCATTTCAATTATCATTGAAATTTATTTCACTTTAAATATACCTGATATTTATCATTTTATTCAAGGACAACAATTATGATGACATCTCAATTCTTTATCTTAGTATTTCTCTTCTATTATTGAATTCAGAAATCTTTGTAATCTATTAAGGAAGATAGTGCTTGACTGAGACACATTTTTATATCCAGGTAGAACATATTTCTCTCCTTGTCCTAGAAAACATTGGTCTTACTTGACAAGATCAAAACATTGCAAAAGCTTAGAAACAAAAACATACCCAGATAGCAATATAAGTCTGGCTTACAGAATTATGCATTCATTTTTTACATATTGAAGCCTATTACTGCACTGCTTATATATAAGTAAACTGCAATGAAACCACTAGCAAATCTCATGCTCAATTTCTTTATCAATACTGAACATTTACTTTGTTGACTCTTCAAATTAAAGAAAGTAGACTTTTGAAAATTACAAAGGTAACGAGTAAATATTTTATTAGAAGTCAATCAACATCAAAGCATGTAGAATAAATGTGAAATCAAAGGTTACCCGACCAGGCTGGGTGCAGTGGTTCACCGCTGTAATCCCAGCACTTTGCGAGGCCGAGGCGGCCGATCTTTTGAGGCCAGTAGTTCAAGATGAGCCTGACCAACATGGCAAAACCCCGAAACTCTGTCTCTACTAAAAATACACACAAAAATTTAGCCAGGTGTGATGGCGGGCGCCTGTAATCTCAGCTACTTGGGAGACTGAGGCAGGAAAACCACTTGAACCTGGGAGGTGGAGGTTGCAGTGAGCCAAGATTGAGCTACTGCACTCCAGCCTGGGCAACAGAGCGAGACTCCATCTCAAAAACAAAAAACAAACAAAAAAAACCACAAAGTTTACCCAACCATATTCATATGATCTCTCTTCTTCAATATTAATGATTACTAACAATTTGGAAAAAAAAATCGTTAGAGCTGTTTATATCCAGACAATTACATAATTGTTTGAGAGGTAACTAGATAATAACGTTTTCATTCATCAACTTCCTAGAAGTTCCTTGTGCGTCAGGCACTCTACAGATTTTGGTAATGCAGTAGAAGGCATAATAGAAAATTTCCTACAGGAGTTTACGTGGAAATTATAAAGGAACGATATAGATATACTAAATAAACTAAACAAATACAAAGTTGATGAGCAGTGCAAAATAAACCAAGAAAAAGGAATTGCCCATATATATGTTCTCAAAACAATTTGCATGTTCTTGATTACTGTAATGGCTGATTGTTCCTCCTATATTTTGATCATTTATATATTTTTATGCATCTTTTCATGTTCTTTACTGGAATAAACAGTCTGATTCCATTTTTGTTTTTTATACTGCTGTTAGCTTTTAAGCCAAACCACCTTCCCTTTCACTCTGTCACACATCTGAGTGAGATGATAAGAAAGATCAAGTGTTCCCTTATATGCATGGGAACTCTAACTAATACAAGCCCCACCAATTACCTACCATAAAATCCTAAAGTAGCCACCCCTCCTGCTCTCCAGTGAAACTCGTTTGCAGACCTGCAAGACAGCCTGCCTGTTCACCCCAGAAAGCCTTTGCATGTGAATCTAAATTTGTTCTTACACTCTTGGTATATACATGGTATCCATTAGTCTCAACATCAGAACCACATTTTGTTGGGGGTGGGAGGTCCAGTTCACCTCCATGAAATGACCACAAATTTACCCTCTTTTACAAAGGGGTTCTATTATGTTATCTAAATATAAACTCAACATTCTGGTGTCTATTTCCATCTGTATTTTATTCTTGCTTTGGAAGATATCCTGGTTTGCCTTACATCCACATAGTATAATGAAATTACTTTACTGTTATTCGAAAACCATTAATGTGCTGTACCACATCCATTCTCCACCCTGCTCTGTGCTCTGGTAGACTCATCTGTGTGGACAATGCCAGGCATCCTTAGCCTTGGACTTCCATTAGATTTTGGTTAATAGAAGATGCTTGCATGAGATTTCATGCTGGAGAGAACATTCAGGATATTAATATTTTTAACTTTTATTTTAGATTTAGGGGTACATGTGCAGGCTTGTTATACAGGTAAACTCATGTCACAGGGATCTGTCTTACAGATCATTTCATCACCCAGGTATTAAGCCTAGTGCCCATTCGTTATTTTTCCTGATTCTCTCCCTCTTCCTACCCTCCACTGTCTGGTAGTCTGTTGTTCTGGTCTCTGTGTCCGTATGTTCTCATCATTTAGCTCCTATTTATAAGTGAGAACATTTGGTATTTGGTTTTCTGTTCCTGCGTTAGTTTGCTAAGGATAACACCCTCCGGCTCCATCCATCTCCCTGTAAAAGACATGGTCTCATTTATATTTATGGCTGCATATTATTTCATAGTATATATGTACCAGATTTTCTTAATCCAACCTATCATTGATGAGTGTTTAGGTTGAATCCATGTCTTTGCTATTATTAATAGTGCTTTAATGAACATATGCATGCCTGTGTCCTTATGATACAACAATCTATATTCCTTTGGGTATATCCAGTAATGGCATTGCAGGGTCGAATGGTAGTTCTCTTTTTAGCTATCTGAGGAATCATCACACTGCCTCCCACAGTGGTTGAACTAATTTACACTCCTTCCAACAATGTACAAGCATTATTTTCCTCCACAACATCGCCAGCACCTGTTATTGTATTCCCCAAATTTCTGCTCATCTTTTGTAATTAGTCCTTTATTAGTCCATTTTCGTACTGCTATGAAGAAATACCTGAGAGTGGATAATTTATAAAGAAAAAGAGGCTTAATGAACTCACTGTTCCATATGGCTGGGGAGGCTTCACAATCATGGCAGAAGGTGAACAAGGAGCAAAAGCACTTGTTACATGGCAGCAGGCAACAGAGTGTGTGCAGGGGAACTGCCCTTTATAAAACCATCAGATCTCATGAGACTTATTCACTATCATGAGATAAGCATATCACGAGCATGGGAAAATCTGCCCATGATTCAATTGCCTCCCATCCAGTCCATCCCACAACACATGGGGATTATGGGAGCTACAATACAAGATGAGATTTGGGTGGAGACAAAGACACACCATATCAAGTTCCTTTATTAAACTTCCATTAAAATCCAGTCTAAGTGAATAATTTGTTTCCTGCCGGTACCTGATATGTAAGCTCTAAATATTTTGTACAGTCTTCCATTAAACATAATTCCTATACCATCTGGATTAGCGACTTTTTGCATAAACAGTACTAATCCATGTTATTTATTTATTTATTTATTTTATTTTTATTTTTTTGAGACGGAGTCTCTCTCTGTCCCCCAGGCTGCAGTGCAGTGGCGTGATCTCAGCTCACTGCAACCTCTGTCTCCTGGGTTGAAGCGATTCTCCTGCCTCAGCCTCCTGAGTAGCTGGGATTACAGGCACAGGCCACAATGCCCGGCTAATTTTTGTATTTTTAGTAGAGACGGGGTTTCACCATGTTGGTCAGGCTGGTCTTGAACTCCCTACCTCGTGATCCTCCCTTTCAGCAAGATATAGTCCAACTTCAGTTACAAGGATATGTAACCAATTTGACTTAATTTTACCACTTATTCATTTAATTATAACCGTATTTTAACTATTTGTGCTCTCCAGTGTTCTCTGAACTGCCTCATTTCATTCTTTGTGGTATCTTTGTCCAATGTTGAGTTTTGCAGATTTTCTAGCAGTGAAGCCAAAATTTGTTTTGTTCTATATAAGAAATTATATCTGAATACTTAAAATGCTTTATTTATGACTTATAATTTATATCCTAATATATGAGAATATTTCCAAAATATTCCAAAATAGCATTATCGTGTCAGGATTCTAACCCTATGTTCATTATTACTATTGTTAAGTTCTCTTCTATTAAACATATGAAATGGATTGTTTAGAATGTTTTATTTGGCACTCCACATTCTTCACGTACGCCCGATCCAACATTCTTTCCTGATATTTGGGAATAGATTTTTGGATAAACTGCTCAACTTTTACAATAACATCGACAGGGTTAATTTTTTTTTCTTTCCAGCTGCATCTTATTTTTACTTTGGAAGATGTCCTGTTTTTGTTTTCCTTTTATCCAAACAGTATTTTAATGTGGTCACATGAGAAACTTCACCAATTAAACTCACAAAAACACAATTTTATGTTATGTGTCCATTAAAGTCTAGTGTATTGTGAAGATATTATCTTAGATTTATCTCTTTGCAAGGAAATGTGAAACGGATCAAACAGTTCTAGGCTCAATGCGAATGGGTAGTTCTCAAATGGCATTTAAAATCTCTTGTATAAAACTTACGATATTCTGCTTAGTAAATAAAGTGATATATAACACTTAATTCTAAGAAAAAATCAGAAACAAAAAAGTATAATTATAATCAACTGGTATAAAAGGAAAGGCATAGCGGTATATGTCTGTTACAGAAAGTTAAAAGTAAGAATGAGAGGAATTTGATATTACAATATTGTGTTGCTAAAAATATGAAAGGCCAGATGGGGTGCATCACAGGGACTACAAGGCAATTGGCAGTAGAAATCTTGTACTTGAACCATTAACAACATTTGACAAAGTCTACCAAGTAAGTGATATGTTCAATAACTGTAACACAATTATGTGATTCTGGTTGTAGGAAGAAAAATGAGAGCATGATTAGCAATTAAAAAACTATCAATCATGAATGCTATCTCAGATTAAGAGGAAAAACACACAAGAAATGATCTATGATCCCCTTATGCTGATTTAGCCTAACAATGCCTAACTAGATGAAGGGGGCATAATGTTTGACAACTGTTTTTGAATCTTTAATGCACAGTTGGTGACGGACACACCAGATAGTTATCTCTTGACACAGAAAGAAAGACAAGGCTAATTGTTCTTCATAAGGAAACATAATAGAGATTTGTTTGTATATAAGCCATCTTTGGAGAGAATACTAAGTTTCTTACCTCTTCAAGAGTAATTAGAGAAACTATGATTGCCTCTAAAGTCAAATGTCAAAAGTGGTAATCTACTCAGAGGATATGTTAATACAGCTGCTTTGAACATCTAAAACTATTAACTGTGAACTCTAAAAGTGTAGTTTGTCCCAAATAAAAAAATAGAGTTAACTCTTAACACTTACAGGTTATGATATCAACTACAGAAATGTTGTTAATTCATTCATGCCTATAAGAAATATTCAAATACTGAAAGAATTTATGTAGTCACTAGTTTACTAATACTCTCAGTGCCCATAATGCTTGACAGGCTACAGCTTCCAGCTGGGTTGACATTGCCAATTATTCTCCATTTCAGTGTAATGAAGTGATGCCTGATAAAGATATGATATTTTATGCTGTAGTAGAAAAGATATGATATTTTTATGCTGTAGTAGAAACTAAGAAGGCAATGATAATCTACTACTTCAATATTTGAAGCCACTATGTCTTTAGGTGACAAATTGATGTCTAATATATAAAGCCATTTTGTATTTAGGTGACAAATTGATGTCTAATATGTAAAGGCACTATGTCTTTAGGTGACTCTGTCACTAATTCTAATACGCTTTACGTATTAGAATTTTCCATTGCTATCTCCCAGTAAAACATGCTATAATTGAAGATTTTTACTCAATGTAATATATTCCATGCTTTAGGCATATTCCATACATTAGTTACATGATGTACATGTTCCATACATTTGGCAAATAATGACTTTATTTGCTGCACGGAGGTTCAAACCCAGGCTTTTTTTTCTGTTTTTAAAGATGGAGGATGCACATGTCTTCCTGTGTTGTCCAGGATGGTCTCAAACTCCTGGGCTCAGGCAATCCTCCTGCTTAGGCCTCCAAGGTGCTAGAATTACAGGCATGGGCCATCACACGCAGTGATATTTTTTGATTATTCTCACAATCTCATAATCTTTTACTTGTCCATTTTTTATTAAGAAATTTTTCTGTTATCCAAATCATATGTTAAAGTTTATGTTCTTTATAATATTATTCCTATTTCTTTGGTTCTGCTGTTAAAAAATTTGTTTTTCAACATTTTACCTCTACACTTCTTACCAAAGCCTTATACAGAAAACCAATTTGTTGGACAGTAAATTCAATGAAATAATTTTATTTTTCTTGACTACTGTCTTCAGATATGTTTTTTCCAACTTCCATTACAGCAACATAGGTATATCCCATTGGTTACTATCCACTTGTACCTATAAAGTAGAGTGATCAAAGTTTATTTTATCTTAAATTTCAATTTTGTACGTTATTAACATCCCAGTGGTAGACAGTCTTGACATTAATGACTAGGCATGGAGAGGAAGTATATCATTATTTTTCAGTTTCCATCAGCTAATCTTTTTTTCACTTGGATCTTCAAATCACAGCACTTAAGTGGGGTAGAAAGGAAAGAGGAAAAAAAATGTCCTACATAAGATGGTATTTTTGCAATTCTTGACTTGACCATCCATGCTCAGATTCTGGCTCTTTCATGAGTGCTTGTATGACTTTAATAGGTGGAATGTCATAGGACATCCCATTGTGTATTTCTCTGACACAGAAAATGTGTTGTGATGTGACCTTCTCTGTGAACACTCTCTATTTCTTCTGGTTTCCTTATGAAAGTTGCTACATTCTGTCCTAGTAAGAAAGCTCAAGCTAACCTTCTTGAAACACTTAGACGTTCGGGAAAATCACATATTCTTTTCATGCCAAATGGCTCTCACTAATGAATCCTGTCTCTTTTCTCTGATATCGTTGACTTATCTTCCTGTAAACAAAAGTAGGCACACAATGCAGATCACCAAGTCACTTAATTTAGCAGCATTCAATCAGAGAATTAAATGTCAGTCCCTTCTTTCTATAGGAACGTCCTAACACTGTAGAACATTTTAAAACCTCCTCACTATGTTTGGGGAAATATAGACCTTTTTTCTCCATGGTAAAGAACTTTTTACCATGAATGCAGTCCTCCTGAAAACTCCAGACTTATCCATCCAATTATTCAGGTGATATCTTCTGTAAGTGTGAGGAGTAGTGATTGGGCAAAGTTATACTTGCGGTTGCTGGGTTATTCTGCTATTCCTTGTTATATCCAAATAAGTCATATCTATCAGTTATCTTTAGAATGTAAACTTTGTGTTTTCACCTATGGTGATTACTTGGAATGAAACAGTAAAAATTTTGTTAAACATCTATTTACATTAAAGCTGTTAGATTAGCCATAGCCTTAAAAAATTACCTTCAGTGATTTTCTCTGCTTCGTTGTAGTGTAGAATGTATTATTAATAAAAAAAAATTAACTCAAGATGGATTAATGACTTAAACATAAGACCCAAAACCATAAAAACCCTAGAAGAAAATGTAGGCAATACGATTCAGGAAATAGGCATAGGCAAAGACTTCATGACTAAAACACCAAAAGCAATGGCAACAAAAGCCAAAATTGACAAATGGGATCTAATTAAACTAAAGAGCTTCTGCACAACAAAAGAAACTATCATCAGAATGAACAGGCAAGCTACAGAACGGGAGAAAATTTTTGTAATCTATCCATCTGACAAAGGGCTAATATCCAGAATCTACAAGGAACTTAAACAAATTTACAAGAAAAAAACAACCCCATCAACAAGTGGGCGAAGAATATGAACAGACACTTCAGAAAAGAAGACATTTATGCAGCCAACAAACATATGAATAAAACCTCATCATCGCTGGTCATTAGAGAAATGAAAATCAAAACCGCAATGAGATACCATCTCCTGCTAGTTAGAATGGCGATCATTAAAAAGTCAGGAAACAACAGATGCTGGAGAGGATGGGCAGAAATAGGAATGCTTTTACACTGATGGTGGGAGTGTAAATTAGTTCAACCATTCTGGAAGACAGTTTGGCAATTCCTCAAGGTTCTAGAACCAGAAATACCATCTGACCCAGCAATCCCATTACTGGGTATATACCCAAAGGATTATAAATCATTCTACTTTAAAGATACATGCACACATATGTTTATTGCAGCACTGTTCACAATAGCAAAGACTTGGAACCAACCCAAAAGCCCATCAATGATAGACTGGATAAAGAAAATGTGGCACATATACACCTGGAATACTATGCGGCCATAAAAAAGAATGAATTCAAGTCCTTTGCAGGGACATGGATAAAGCTGGAAACCATCATTCTCAGCAATATAACACAGGAAGAGAAAAGCCAAACACTGCATGTTCTCACTCATAAGTGGGAGTCGAACGATGAGAACTCATGGACACAAGGAGGGGAACATCAAACACCGGGGCCTGTCGGGGGGTGGAGGGCTAGGGGAGGGATAGCATTAGGAGAAATACCTAATGTAGATGACAGGTTGATGGATGCAGCAAACCACCATGGCACATGCATACCTATGAAAAAAACCTGCATGTTCTGCACATGTATCCCAGAAAAGTATAATAAAATTTTTTTAAAAAGAATGTATTATTAATTATTGTGTAAAATTATTGTCTCCATTTCCTCTGCACTGAGAAGTCATATCACATTATTGAACCTATTTCCTTGTAAGTAACCAATATTTAATTGCTAAATCTAACGAGTTTATATATTTACTGTTCTCTCTTCCTTCTCCGTGAACACTTCAGGTTCTGTAATATATAATTTTACTTGCAAATTAGCCAAAATTCTCTTGACTAGTCTCCCTGTTGTTCACATTCATGTGGCTGCATACTCACATGGGTATGGGTGAGCACAGGTGTCTACTCCTTTTGTACTTACATCATAGGCACAAGGCATCAATTTTTTTAAAGGTATCATAAATTAATCCCACTATACATTTGAAATCAGAAATTTTAACCAGATTAAAAAACCTGTGCCACATTTCTAATATATTACTTAAGCCACTAAATTTTCCATCAAATAATTCTCCTTCAAATTTTGTCTACTACACTAATCATCCTTGTAAGCAATACTACACCTAAGGTAACAGGACATTCTCTCATGTACAGGATAACAAACATTAAATTAGAACTTCCTATTAGCCTAGTCTCAACTGAGGAATTACTGTCACTTGCATTTTCTGGAATACTCATTACATTACAAACTGGATTAGGATTTTTTTCCTGCATAATGAAAGAAATAAGGACAGTTTTTCAGTCTTTCTCTTTATTTTTCGTGTCCTTAATTCTTTTTAAGGGTATTGGTCAGTAGTTTTAGAACACCTCTTAGTTTGGTTTGTCTGTGTTTTCTTATGATTATGGGGTTTTATGGAAAAAAATCCAGTGTTTTCTTCTGAGGTGTCATATTGTATCAAAGGATACATGATGTCAACATGGCTTATTACCAGTGATGTTAACTTTGATCACTTGATTAAGATGGTGTCTGCCAGAACTCTCCACTGTAAAATTACTATTTTCTCAGTCCATATGCTCCATTTTTCCCTTTTCATGTTGACAGTGCATCACTAAATCTTACCCATACTTCTTGAAGGGGAGAGGAGTTAATCTCCACCTTGCAGAGGAGGATGCTACACGTATTAGTCTGTTTTCACACTGCTATAAAGAACTACCTGAGACTGGGTAATTTATGAAGAAAAGAGGATTAATTGACTCACAGTTCCAAGGGTTTAACAGGAAGCATGGCTGAGATGCCTTAGGAAACTTACAATTATGGTGAAAGTTGAAGGGGAAGCAAGCACATCTTACCGTGGTGAAGCAGGAGAGAGAGAGAGAAGGAGAAAGTACCACACACACTTATACCATCAGATCTTATGAGAACTCACTCACTATCATGAGAATAGCAAGTGGGAAATCCACCCTCATGATACAATCACTTCTCCCTAGCCTCCTCCCTTGACTCATGGGGATTACAAGTCAACGTGAGATTTGGGTGGGGACACAGAGCCAAACCATATCATTCCACTCCTGGCCCCTCCCAAATCTCATGTTCTTCTCACATTTCAAAACCCAACAGTACCCCAAAGTCTTAACTCATTCCAGCACTAACACAAAAGTTCAAGTTCAAAGTCCCATCCAAGACAAGGGAAGTCCCTTCCACCTATGAGCCGGCAAAATCAAAAATGAGTTAATTACTTCCATGATACAATGGAAGTACGGGCATTGGGTAAATGTTCCCATTCTAAAAAAGAGAAATTGTCCAAATCAAAGGAACTACAGGCCTCATGAAAGTCTGAAACCCAACAGGGCAGTCATTAAATCTTAAAGCTCCAAAATAATCTCCTTTGACTACATGTCTCCCATCCAGGGCATGCTGATGTAAGAGGTGAGCTCCCAAGGCCTTGGTTCTGCAGGGTACAGCCCTCATGGTTCTGCAAGGTACAACCTCCTTGACTGTTTTCACAAGCTGGCATTAAGTGCCTGCAGCTTTTCCAGGTACATGGTGCAAACTGTCAGTGGACCTACCATTCCAGGGTCTAGAAGACACTGGTCCTCTTCTCACAGCTCCACTAGTCAGTGCCCCAGTAAGGACTCTGTGTGGGAGTTCCAACCCTACATTTTCCCTTTGCAGTGCCCTAGTAGAGGTTTTCCATGAGGACCCTGCCCCTGCAGCAGACTTCTGCCTGGACATCCAGGTATTTCAATACATCCTCTGAAATCTAGGCAAAGGTTCTCAAACCTTAACTCTTGCTGTCTGCATACCTTCAGGCCCAACACCACACGGAAGCCACAAAGGCTTAGGGCTTGCACCCTCTGAAGCAATGGCCTGAGCTGTACCTTGGCCCCCTTTAGCCACAGCTGGAGCTGGAGCATCTGGGACACAGAATGGCATGTTCTGAGATGCCACAGAGTAGTGGGGCCCTGGGCCTGGCCCATGAAACCATTTTTCTCTCCTAGACCTCTGTGCCTATAACAGGAGGGGCTGTGGCAAAGGTCTCTTAAATGCCCTGGAGATATTTTTCCCATGGTCTTGGCTATTAACATTTGGTTCCCCATTATTTATGCAAATTTTGGCAGCCAGCTTGAATTTCTCCCCAGAAAATGGGCTTTTCTTTTTTACCACATGGCCAGAGTGCAAATTTTCCAAACTTTTTTGTTTTTGGCTCTTCCTCCCTTTTAAATACAATTATAATTTCAGACTATCTATTTCTTCATGCATATGAATGCACACTTTTAGAAACAACCAGGCCATGCTGCTTAGAAATTCATTCTGCCAGATACCCTACATCATCTCTCTCAAGTTCAAAGCTCCAAAAATGTCTAAGACAGGGGCAAAATGCTGCTAATGCATAGCAAGAGTGACTCTTGTTCCAGTTCCTAGTAAGTTCCTCATCTCCATCTGAGACCACCTCAGCCTGGATTTCATTGTCCATATCACTATTGACATGTTGGCCAAAACCATTCAACAATTTTCTAGGAAGTTCCAAATTTCCCAAATCACCCTGTCTTCTTCAGAGGCCTCCAAACTGTTCCAACATCTTCCCATTACCCAGTTACAAAGTTGCTTCCTGATATGGTTTAGCTGTGTCCCCCTCCAATCTCATCTTGAATTTTAACTCCCACAATTCCCATGTGTCGTGGGGGGAACCCAGTGGGGTGATTGAATTATGGGGGTGGGTCTTTCCTGCGCTGTTCTCATGAAGTGAATGAGTCTCATGAGATCTGATGGTTTTAAAAATGGGAGTTTCCCTGTACAACCTCTCTCTTCACCTGCTGCCATCCACATAAGATGTGACTAGCTCCTCCTTGCCTTCTGCCATGATTGTGAGGCCTCCACACCCGTGTGGAACTGTAAGTCCAATAAACACATTCTTTTGTAAATTGCCCAGTCTTGGGTATGTCTTTGTCAGCAGCATGAAAGCAGACTAATACAGTAAATTGGTACCTGTAGAGTAGGGCACTGCTGAAAAGATACTTGAAAATGTGGAAGTAAGTGACTTTGGAACTTGGTAACAGGCAGAGGTTGGAACAGTCTGGAAGGCTCAGAAGAAGAGAGTAAAATGTGTGAAAGTTTGGAATTCCCTAGATACTTGTTGAATGGCTTTGGCCAAAATGCTGATAATGATATGGACAATGAAATCCAGGCTGAGGTGGTATCAGATGGAGATGAAAACTTGGCTACTGGAGCAAAGGTGACTCTTGTTATGTTTTAGCAAAGAGACTGGCAGCATTTTGCCCCTGCCCTAGAGATTTGTGGAACTTTGAACTTGAGAGAGATGATTGGGGGTAACTGGCAGAAAAAAATTCCAAGCAGCAAAGCATTCAAGAGGTGACTTGGATGCTGTTAAAGGAATTCAGTTTTATAAGGAAAACAGAGCATAAAAGTTTGGGAAATTTGCAGCCTGACAATGTGATATGAAAGAAAATCCCATATTCTGGGGAGAAATTCAAGCCAGATGCAGAAATTTGCATAACGAGGAGCCAAATGTTAATCCCGAAGACAATGGGAAAAATGTCTCAGGGCATGTCAGAGGTCTCCACAGCAGCCCCTCCCATCACAGGCCCAGAGGCCTAGGAGGAAAATATGGGCAGGTCCAGGGTCACCATGCTGTGTATAGTCTAGGGAATTGGTACCCTGTGTCCCAGTTGCTCCAGCCATGACTTAAAGGGGCCAAGGTACAGCTTATGCTGTGGCTTCAGAGGATGAAAGCCACAAGGTGTTTAGCCTGTGGGTGCACAGAAGTCAAGAATTGAGGTTTGGGAACCTCTGCCTAGATTTCAGAAGATGTATGGAAATCCCTGAATGTGCCTGCAAAAGTTTGCTAGGGGCGAGGCGCTCATGGAGAACCTCTACTAGGGTACTGCAGAAGGGAAATGTGGGGTGAGAGCCCCAACACAGAGTCCTTACTGGGGTGCTGCCTAGTGGAGCTGTGAGAGGAGGGCCACTGTCCTCCAGACCCCAGAATGGTAGATCCACCAACAGCTTGCGTTTTGCACCTGGAAAAGCCATAGACACTCAACACCAGCCCATTGAAAGCAGCTGGCAGGGAGCCTGTGCTCTGCAGAGCTACAGAGGTGGAGATGCCCAAGATCATGAAAACCCTCCTCTTGCATCAGCGTGACCTGGATGTGATACATGGCATCAAAGGAGATCATTTTGGACCTTTAAGGTTTGACTGCCGTGCTGGATTTTGGATTTGCTTGGGCCCTGTAGCTCCTTTGTTTTGGCCAATTTCTCCCATTTGGAATGGGTATATTTACCCAATGCCTGGACTCCAGTTGTATTTAGGAAGTAACTAACTTGCTTTTGATTTTACAGGTTCACAGGCATAAAGGACTTTCCTTGTCTCATCTGAGACTTTGGACTATTGAATTTTGAGTTAATGCTGAAATGAGTTAAGACTTTGGGGAACTGTTGGGAAGGCAAGATTGAGTTTGAAATTTGAAGGCATGAGATTTGGGAGGGGCAGGGGTGGAATGTTATGGTTTGGCTCTGTGTCCCCACCCAAATCTCATCTTGAATTGTAACTCCCACAATTCCCACATGTTATGGGAGGAACCTAGTGGAAGGTGATTGAATTATGGGGGTGGGTGTTTCCTTTGCTGTTCTCATGGTAGTGAATTAGTCTTGTGAGATCAGATAGTTTTAAAAATGAGAGTGTCCCTGTGCAAGTTCTCTCTTTGCCTGATGCCACCCACATGAGATGTGACTTGCTCATCCTTGCCTTCTGCCATGATTGTGAGGCCTCCCCAGCCATGTGGAACTGTAAGTACAATAAACCACATTCTTTTGTAAATTGCCCAGTCTTGGATATGTCTTTATCAGCAGTGCAAAAGGAAACTTACACACTTCCATATTTTCAGGTATCTTTATAGTAGTGCCCTGCTCCTGGTACAAATTTTCTGTATTAGTCTGTTCTCATAGTGCTATAGAAAACTACCTGAGACTGAGCAATTTATGAAAAAAAAAGAGGTTTAATTGACTCACAGTTCCACAGACTTAACAGCATGGTTGAGAGACCTCAGGAAACTTACAACCATAGCAGAAGGCAAAGGGGAAGCAAGCACGTCTCATCATGGCAAAGCACGGGAGACAGAGGGGAGGAGGAAGCACGATACACCTTTAAACCATCAGATCTCATGAAAACTCACAATCATGAGAACAGCAAGGAAGAAATCTGCCCTCATTACCCAATCACCTCCCACCAGGCCCCTCTTCTAATATGTGGGGATTACAATTTGACATGAGATTTGAGTGGGGACACAGAGCCAAATCATATCACTACCTAAATGTATTGTTTGGAAACTTCTTTATGAAACATATGTCCCTGTTGTTTTCTATTAATTATATCTTAAATGTGTCTCTCTATTCTGTTCATATGTCTTCATTTCCACCACTAAATATCTTTTCCAAACTACCACTCTCTCTCAACTGGATAATTTCTTTAGCTTTTCCCCAATATACTCAGAGTAATCTCTGTAAAACCTCAGTTCATTCCCATTAAGAAGGTTAGAAGCTGCTGCTTGCTTTGACTCCTACTGTCATTTCCAACTATCACTGGCTTCATAATTCTCTTTTTATTTATCTTTTCCACTTATTCTGACTTTCCATGAGTTCAGATACTTATATTTATTCTTGCAAAGAGTTACACATGTTCATTCCATATGTTGAATACTTCTCCCATTCTATTCACTGAGAAAATGATTGTCCTTTATTCTAATGGAAGGGCACCCTTTCCTGAATTTCGTAGTCAGATCATAGCACCTAATGTCTCTCCTTAGTTGCAGTTGTGTCATTGCAATGTCAGATTATTGTGCTTGATGATTTAGTCAATATGTATTTCCCCACAGAAGCAGGAGTTTTTGTTGTTGTTGTTGTTTTCTAGCATTATACAGAGCATGACACATAGAGTTTGTCCTTTTGGTGTACTCAATAAATTTTGGTTATATTAATTGAATGAATGAATGAAGATTAGCTAGTAAAATTTAGATCAAACGTATTTAGGAATTGTTATCTAGGGAGTATCAAGGAAGGATAAGGTAAATATTAAGTCATTTAATTGATTCGCTATTATAGTTCATATGTTTGTTGCTTTTTTCCTCTTCCTCGTGTTCAAGATTCTTCCAGTCCCTCACTATTTGCTTAATCTCTTTTCTCTTTATTTTTCTATAACTGTTGTATTAGTCAGGGTTCTCTAGAGGAACAGAACTAATGGGAAATATGTATATATATATAAAGGTGACTTTATTAGGAGAATTGACTCACACAGTCACAAGATGAAGTCCCACAGTAGGCCATCTGCAAGCTGAGGAGCAAGGAAGCCAGTCCAAGTCCCAAAACCTCAAAAGTAGGGAAGCTCAGAGTGCAGCCTTTGGTCTGCAAGGCCCGAGATCCCCTGGCAAGCCACTGGTGTAAGTCCAAAGAGCCCAAAAGCTGAATAATTTGGAGTTCAATGTTTGAGGGCAGGAAGTATCCAACATGGGAGAATGATGAAAGTTGGAAGACTCAGCCAGTCTAGTCCTTCCATGTTCTTCTGCCTGCTTTATTCTAGCCATGCTAGCCGATGATTAGATGGTACCCACCCAGATTGAGGGTGAGTCTGCCTCTCCCAGTCTATTGACTCAAATGCTAATCTCCCCTGGCAACATCCTTACAGACGCACCCGGGAACAATACTTTGCATCCTTCAATCCAACCAAATTGATAGTCAGTATTAACCATCACAACTATTACCATTGTAGGTTGTTTGCCATTTGCAGCCCATTTGGTTTAGTTCATGATTACCTGCCGTTTGTCTCACCATTTAATAGAAATTCGTATTTCTCCTCAATTTACTTTTTTTTAATCTTGAATGCCTTTTTTGGACTGTTCAGATTATAAGTTACAAAAGCCAACTTAAAGTACCTACATATAAGGAGGGATATTTTGAAATACAATAGATGTGCAGTGTGATTCTATAAAACACAAGAACCCACAAAGAATGAGTGGATTAAGGACCTCGATCGATCTCCAAATCATGGCAATTACCTCCTCGTGTCTTATCTCCTCTGTGCATATCCGTTATTATTCAGTGTGTGCTCTCTCTCTAGGCATGCCCTTCCTCATTCTTCTTCAGCAGATTTCACCACATAGTAGACATCTTGGATTTGCAATTCCACCTTTCTTTCCTAATGTTAAAAATTATTATAGGTGAAGAAATTGTTTATCTTAATTAATTTGTTGACTTAAGAGAGCAGTAATCTGGAAAATGTATTGATGAGTAAATTCTCAGGAATAAAAAATGTTGATGACAAATCTTGTTCCAATTACAGCTTTCTACATTTCTACCTAAACTCAGTGTTCTCGGATAACTTGACCATTCCATCCATAACATGAGGAGAAAGCATCTTTCACAGGGTTATGGATAGAATTAAATTAAGTAACCTATGTATAGCAACTTTTACCATAGCTGAATGAGAGTAGCCACCATATATATTAACCATTATTTAAATTAAAAACATGTCAGAATCATGGAAATACATTTTACCATAAATTATATAGTCACCTGACTGAAAGTGCTTTTGTATATTATTTTGAATATTAAATTGTTTTAAATATACAGAAGAAAAATTTTATGAGAAAAATAAAAACAATGTAGATAAATGATTTATTCATGAGGTTAAATTGGAAATAATATGAAAAATTGAAATAATTACCTTGTTACTGGCAAAATATGTTGCATCTGTTTGCTATCGTCTCAGTGATAGTAAAATGAAGATTGGTGACTTTAATTCCAATTTCAGAATAAAAATGAACTTTATGAGGTGAATATTTTTCACTTTGACACATATAATTAGAAATACAATTTTCATATTTATGGTAATAAATAACTTACATTTCAATGTGTATTCCCTTAAATTCATATTTGTGTGCACTAGTCTTTGTCTGGATAAGAACTGTATTCTGATGCAGCTCTCCTTTGAACTTTCTTTTAAATATTTATTTATTTATTTATTTATTTATTTATTTATTTATTTATTTTTGAGACAGGGTCTTACTCCTGTCACCCAGGAGTGCAGTGGCATGATCACGGCTCACTGCAGCCTTGACCTCCTGGACCAAAGAGATCTTCCCACCTCAGACTCCTGAGTAGCTGGGACCATAGATGTATGACACCATACCTGGATAATTTTTTAATCATTGTAGAGATGAGGTCTTGTTGTGTTGCCCAAGCTAATCTGGAACTCCTGGGCTCAAGTGATCCTCCTGCCTTAGCCTCCTAATATGTTAGGATTACCCAGGCATGAGCTACTATGCCCAGCCTAAACATTCATAAACAAAATACCATGGACTCTTTTCTATGGACCCACCTGGAGATGAACATATATCCAGACATTACTAAACAGCTATTTTTCCTAAGGCACATATTCCCCACACTTTGTATTGATTTGAGATATGCCCTGCAATGAACTAGAACAGAAAAGCAAATGCAGTTTTACATGAGTGGAATTGTAGTGTTAAATAAATTGCTTGGATGATTATCCATTTCATATTCATAGCTCTAAATCTTTAGAGAATCTGTCTCTCAAAGGGTATCTGGTACATTGCAAGGGTAAACAAGTGAAAAAGATAGGAAATAGTGATTTCAGGAAAGTTTCCGGAAATGGACACTTCACAGAGGTTGTAGCTGAGACAGGGGATGATATTGTGGGAAAAAAGAAGATAAAATTAATGTTAGTGAAAATTCCTTTTTGGTGTTTTTGTTTTGTTTTGTTTTGTTTTGGTTTTGGTTTTTTTTTTTTTACACGGAGTCTCGCTTTGTCACCCAGGCGGGAGTGCAGTGGCATGATCTCGGCTCACTGCAACCTCCACCTCCTGCGTTCAAGTGATTCTCCTGCTTCAGCCTTCCAAGTAGCTGGGATTACAGGTGTGTGCCACCACGCCCAGTTGATTTTTGTAATTTTTAGAAGAGACGGGGTTTCAACATGTTGGCCAGGCTACTCTTAAACTCCTGACCTCAAGTAATCCACCTGCCTCAGCCTCCTAAAGTTCTGGGATTACAGGCGTGAGCCACCACGCCCAGCCACATTAGTGAAAATTTCTAAAAGGCATGTGGGTATTATAATTCCACCTGTCTAAGAATCACTATAGGATCTTTTAGTACTTCTATTTAGGTAAAGCCTTTTTCAGATTAATAATGTTAAAAATAATAATGATAATGGCACTAGATTAAAGAAGTCTGGTGAAGTCTGTTTTTAAGACTTTTGGATTGCTTAATTTGCCTCCTTAACATAACACTTCCATCTAAGCTCCATCTAACAACAGTGAAGCTTAATCTGGAATCCCAAAATGTATGTAAATATGAACTCCTGTTTGGCATCCATCTAGCTACATGACACACTCAGAGAATAAATTTTGTTTATTTGCAAATTATTTTCCAGGACAAAGTCGGTCAAAAAATGAGCCTGTGATTTTTACAAGATTGTGCCAAATGTAAAAAATACGTAAAGACAGGTTTCCACTCAAAAGAAAACATTGTACTTAAAAACACACACATAGATATATATAATGGAGAAAAGATAAAAGAAAAAACTCTAAAAAAAGTAATGAAGTATCAAAATGACATTGACGTTTTTTGATTTTCATGTTTTCTAATTTTGTGCACAATTTATGTGTTTTTTTCCTTTTTTTTTGAGACGGAGTCTTGCTCTGTCACCAGGCTGGAGTGCAGTGGCGCGATCTCGGCTCACTGCAAACTCCACCTCCCGGGTTCAAGCCATTCCCCAGCCTCAGCCTCCCAAGTAGCTGGGATTACAGGCACCTACCACCACGCCTGGCTAATTTTTTGTATTTTTAGTAGAGACAGGGTTTCCCTGTGTTAGCCAGGATGGTCTTGATCTCCTGACCTCGTGATCCACCCACCTCGGCCTCCCAAGATGCTGGGATTGCAGGCGTGAGCCACCGTGCCTGGGCTGTGTTTTTTTACTTAATTGCTTTCACTTTTGTGAAATTAGTTACAAAATCCATATATTAGATTGGAAGTGTGATATGTCTTTTTTTAATTTGCATGACAATTTGGATCCTATATAATCAAAATCTAATAAATCAACAACTTTTGCTATAAGCATAACATCATATGAGTTTTGTGTTGAATTAATACATTGAATAAATTTGGGAGATTTTAGAATTTTAGTCTAAGTATATACTTTTTTTCTCATAAGGAATGTATATAATTCTGTCTAAATGTTGTCTAATGATACACTCTTCATAAATTTCCACTGAAATATCGCTATAAAAATGAAGCCTCATTATTCTCAAAAAGCATGTGGTGTACCATCTAATGCTATGATTCAGGTTAATAACCTCCTACTACACAGCCAACAAAGTCAGATGCAGAATAGTACTGATTGTCCTATACACCCTCTCAATCAAAAGAAAATATGTTTGTAAGTAGACAGGAAAAATACTTTGGGCCTTATATACTGTCTATGTGTAGGCACAGAGTTCAATATTTGCCAGACATAAAACCCTGTATAAAAATAGTAGAGTTTTTGAAATAGCCAAGGTTTTCTCCTGTATTCTCCCACCTTAAAAGCTGTCAAATAGAGTAACCATACAATCCATCAATCCCAATACTGGGTATATGTCCAAAGAAAAGGAAATCAGTATATAAAAGAGATCTGTGCATTCCCATATTTAATGCAGCACTCTTCACAATAGCCAAGATATGGAATCAGCCCAGATGTGAATGAGGAAATGTGGCCCATATATAGTATTAATACATATACACAATGGAATATAATTCAGCCATTAAAAAGAATGAACTCTTGTCATTTGCAACAACGTGGATGTACCTAGAGGAGGTTATGTTAAGTAAAATAAGCCAGGCACCAAAAGACTAATTTTGCGGTTCTCACTCATATGTGCAAGCTAAAATTTTTTTAAAACATTGAAGTCATAGAGATAGGGTAGTATGATGGTTACTAGAGGCTGGGAAGGGTAGCAGAGAGGGGGTGGATAAGAGAGGGTTGGTTAATGGCTATGAATACAGTTCATTAGAATTAATAAGATAGAATATTTGGTAGTACAACAGGGACTAGAATTAATTATTCGTTGTACATTTTTAAATAACCAAAATTAGAATTAGGAATATTTCCAACACAAAGAAATAACAAATGCTTGAAATGGTGGATACCCTAATTACCCTGATTTAATTATTACGCATTGTATGTGTTTATAAAAATATTGCATGTACTCCACAAAAATATAAAATATGATGTTTTTATAATAATTACTTTAAAAACAATTAAGCTTGCCATCATTTTCTTTTAAATAATACATAAAAATAGGCTTTATTAAAATTAGGTAAATAGATGTATAGTCTATACGGTGTATGGTATAATTCTCAAAGACAAATGCTGGAAGTGTGGCCGCTCATATTTTGCAAGAGATAATTTTTCATATAAACAGTTTTTGTCAAAATCTCAGGGGACCAAGCATGGGAAAGAGGAGATTATAGGATTTTCCTAAATGAAGGGCATTAAGGTATTATTAGACAAAGAGCCATGTTAAAAGTGAAAATTATGAAACACAATTGGTGTGTGACATTTTAACATATCCTATGTTTTAACAAAATGATATAAGGATAAATAAGAACAAATAAATAGAAAATTTTACATTTATAATTAAACCTAATACCACAGAAATCAAGTACACAATTCCTTTTTTAAGCTATTGGTCTCTGATAGTTCTAGACTTTTAGTTTTCCTCTCTTAAAGTCCCTAAGTAATATTAATCTGTTCTTCATCTTCCTGGACCTCATGAATTTCTCCCTCTTTCATTACCTTGCACATGTATGGGAAGTATTTCCTAAGCAATGCTTACACATCACAAAGCTGCCCTGCTTGTCTTCCTGCCACCTGTCAGTGAACAGGCACTTGATGGCTGCACCTCTCCTGTGTATTACATAAAGATCACAGGATTGGCAACTTGTGAGCTGCTTTATCTCTCCCTAAAGCCTTTCACAGCATTCGTGGCCATCCATTAAATCTCCAAGGCACATCTTATAAGGGATTGTAACATTTTCAAAACTTTCCTGAAATTTGGTGATAACAGAATTACATCACAATAGGGAGTGATTAAAGCAGTTATGATTCTCACTAATACCTGTCAAATGTGCCAACTATCTCTCTAGGGTTTCTCCCACTTTACTATCTCCTTAGCCTTTCTATCAATATTACCTTCAACTATATCCTTCCTAACTAAAATCTTGGCCACAAATCCTGTGAACACCAAGAAGAGAGAAACAGTCATCACTTTCTTCCCAATCTCACAGCAGCAACTGCCTTTTTAACAAACATAATCTCAGGCAGGCTTTTCTCCCAAAAGAAAGAAAAACCTCCTTTTTCTTTTCTTCTCGTTGATTGGAATTTTTCTGATCGAGAAAGTGAATTTTAGCTTGCACAGCAAACAGTTCCATTAAAGTGATTTTGCTTGTTTTACATTGTTTTGTTTTCTTTCCCACAAATAATAACATTTATTCAAAGATAAGTTTAGCTCTCATCTCTCAATAACCAGGAAATCTACTAAAAGTTTTTAAAAATAATGAAAAGTGCTTGTATATATCTAAAGATCAATATTTCAGAAATGTGAGAATTAAATTTTAGGCAGAACACTCAGTTTAGCACTTTTAGTAGAATCTTTACTATAATTAATTTGTCTCATTTTCAGTCCAACGCTATCTCGACACTAGGATGATACCTTAAAGATGGTGACTCTCTCATAGGAGTTAGTGCTGGACAGTCTGGTATCTTCTCTTCCCCAGAAGTATGGTAAATAAACATGAATACCTGGGAACAAAACAAAGGAGGGGTAGTTATTATTTAAATCAGTTGGTCATAAGAGTTGTCTCTTAGGAAGTAACTTTTTAATTTTGGTCTAAAAATGCAAAAACATCTACACCTACCTAAAGACAATGCAAAAAAATGCTAAAACATGTTCACCTACTTAAAGACATTACGGACAAGTCCAGGCATAAACAAAACCATGTGAAAACCCGTTAAAGCCAGAAGGGTTTTTGTATTGTAGAAACTGAGAAGGACACTAGAACATCTGAGAGGTAAGGGGGAAGCACAGTATGATAATTTTCTATTTGGGGAGGAAGGAAGATTGTGCTGGGCTTTGAAGTTTATGATGAAATATTTGAATTCAGTCCAAGTGAAGGGAACGTTATAAAAATTTTGATAAAGGACATGATCTGAGGTACTTTTTTAAAATAACATCACTCTGGCTTCTGCCACTTTTCTTCTGGGGAAGAAATGAAGGCAGGGAGTTTGCTTTGGAAACAACTGTGCTGTCATCCACAAGATACAGTAGAATATTGGGCCAGGAAGATTGCATTGGATATGAAGAAGATATTTTAAAGGTAAGATGTACATGACTTATGGATTAGCTGAATATTGATATAAAAAATAAAAGTATCAAGATAATTGCCTCATTTAAGAATTAGATAAAGCGCTGAACTAGATATATAATTTTTGAACTTGGCAACATATTGTTGACATTTAATGTTGTGGAAATAATTGAGAGTACATAGAAGTGCTAATTCATTTTTCCTGAAAATCAGTTGCCTTTTGTGCTTTATGAATTTCCAAATCTAGTTACAAGCTAATGAACACGTGCTAGCATGTAAACTATTTTGCTGTACATTTCATCTACTACTTTAACAGATTGATGTTTTCAATGTTATGTCAACACAAACCTAATTATACTAAATGCTTCCCATCTGTATATCTAATGCAATTTCAAATCTTGGGAATAAAGCTTGAACTCGAGATACCCTTGACTTCTATCTCTGCCACTATTCATATGAATATCTGATTCATCAAAAAAATTTAGTGGTCTGTCTTCAAAATATGTTTATAAATGGTCTAATTCTCATTGTATAACCTTGGTTAAAGCTACAGTTAATTCCTGCTTACACTGATGTAGTCGCCTAAGTGGTGATGAAGTAGTCTGAGTGGTCTCCCTACTTCTACCATTGCTACTTTTTAGTTTGTTAGCAAGAGGGAAGCCTAATTGATTCAGATATGTAACTCCTCTACTTAAAATCTTTCACTGAGTTTAAAATGCAAACTTCTTACAATCATCGAAAAGTCTTTCCCATTCTGTTTTCACCTTCCTTCTCTGTTTCTTCCACTTCAGCAAGGTTGGCCATGGCCAGCATCAACCATGCTCCTGCCTCAGGGCCTTTGTACCAGCTCTTTTCATTACCTGAAATGCTCTTCCCCCAGATATCTACATGTCTGAAATGACTTCTTCAGGTATTGTCAACTGTCATCTTCATAGTGAGGTCTTCTGAGACATGCAAATTACAACTGCCACAGTATCTTTATCCCATTTTCTCTGCCTTTGCTGCATAACTCTTACTATTAAAACACTTAATTGGGGCCGGGCATGGTGACTCACGCCTGTAATCCCAGCACTTTGGGAGGCTGATGCGGGTGGATCACGAGGTCAGGAGTTCAAGACCACCCTGGCCAAGATGGTGGAACCCCGTCTCTACTAAAAAAAAAAAAACACACACACACACACACACACAAAAATTAGCCAGGCGCAGTGGCAGGCGCCTGTAATCCCAGCTACTTGGGAGGCTGAGGCAGGAGAATCATTTGAATCTGGGGGGCGGAGGTTGCAGTGAGCCAAGTTCGCACCACTGCACTCCAGCCTGGGCAACAGAGTGAGACTCTATCTCAAAAAAACAAGCAAACAAACAAACAAACATTTATTTGGATTGTTTCTTTTTACCAACCACTAGAAGTTTAGTGAGTTCCATAAGGGCAGGTATTTTTGCCAGCTTTGCTCTTGGATATAAGCCTAATGTATGGATGAAGTTTCTGCCACCTAAAAAATAAATTTAAGTGAGTGGCTACAGATCTTTCAAGTTCACTATTTTCCCCATAATTGTATATTCTTTTAATAACAAGAAATGAAATACAATAAAAATGCATGTAATTATAATTTTTGAATTAAGAGATAATGCCAAACAGTATAAATTAGTAAAAGAGTAGTGTATCTGAAAAAATTACTGAAACATCTCCATAATAATAATAATGCTAACATGTATTGTTTGCTTATTTAGTGTCTCATGTTTCACTTAGAACTTTTTTTCTCTGTTTTAGATTAAGGAAACTTTTTCAAATCCACAGCCAGTGAGTTGTACAGTTAGAACACAATCCTATATTTCTGATCCCAGAACCTGAGCTGGTAAATACTCTTCCGTTCTGCCTCATGTTTAAGAATTTGTTTTCAAGCTTGGTTCCAAATAAAGATTAACCTTGGGCTCCTTTAAAAAACATGTTGCTAGTCTTCTTTCCTCACATATGAAATCTGAATCCTTTGGGGTTAGTGAACAGGAGTCTTTTTAAACAAACAAGTAAAAAAAAAGTTTCCAAGTGAAACTGATATGTTGCCAGCTTTAAGAATCATGGATACAGAGCATCAAAAAATAATTCAGCCAGAAAATAAACCATCTAGAAAAAAATGTTTTATTCATTGGAAGATGCAGAAGTTAAGGAAACTAGGAAACAATTTTTTTGCTGTCTGATAGATGTATAACTTCACAAAAAACATTTCACTGGTCTCTGAAGTAGCAAACTAATTTCTAACAAAAACTTAGATAATAGGGTATGAAATCAGCAATGAAAACAATGTGTATAGTAAGAGCACCAACACTGCCAGGAATGTTTTTAAATAGTTCATATCTACTTTTTAATGAAAATTCACCAAAATGTATGTTTACATGATAGAATATGCAATGTAGTTCAAAAGTTTTGTAAGTGCAAGTGGTTTCTTTTTCTATCCTGTCCAAATTAACAGAAAACAACAATAATAAAACTGTACTGAGGAATATAATCACTCAGGCAACAAGTGTATTCATTTTAATTCATGGTTTAATTAGGAACATATTTTAAGTAGTGTCAGGGAATGTGAAATATATATATGTGTATATATATATATATGCACACACACAAATGTATATATATACATATATACTCTGTGCTCAAAAATTAAGCAGCAAAGGGGAGAAAACAGGGCCAGGGATAATTAACGCTAAATAACACAGGAATAATATACTGACCATTGGAATCAGATGGGATGTGAGTGCAAAGAAGTAAGTGGAATTAGTGTGGTGTAGAGATTAAATAGCACTGGGAGTTGCAGATATCTGCACTCCCCAACCCACCACCACCATTTTGATTGAAGTACGGTTGACAGCCTAAAGGTGTCCAACTTTATGATTTGATATATACGTATATATATACACACACATTGTGACATAGTCATCAAAATCAAGCTAATTAATTAACGTATCCATCACTTCATATAGTTAACATTTCCTTTCTATTTTTCTTTCTTTCTTTCTCTTATCTTTGTTACTTTTATTTTATTTTCATGATGAGAATAATTAAGATCTACCTTCTTAGCAAATTTCAATTGTCCAATACGATATTGTTAACTATAGTCACATTTTTTTACATTAGATCTTTGTACCCCTGGAACAGCATCTACCTATTTTCTCAATCCCTCAGCCCCTAATAACCACCATTCTACTCTCTGTTCTTATGAGTTTGATTATGTAGATTCCACGTATAAGTAAAATCATACAGTATTTGTCTTCCTGCACCTAGTTTATTTCACTTGGCATCATATTCTTTTGCTTCATCTATTGTATTAATTCATTCTCACACTGCTATAAAGAACTACTTGAAACTGGGTGACTTCAGGTAGTGAAATAGAAGAAAACAGGTTTAATTGGCTCACAGTCCTGGAGACTTAACAGAAAGCATGACTGGGAGGCCTCAGGAAACTTACAATCATGGCAGAGGGCAAAGAGGAAGCAAGCACATTTTCTCATGGTGGTAGGAGAAAAACAGAGAGAAGGGGGAAATTCCATACCCTTTTAAACCATCAGATCGCATGAGAACTCACTCACTATCATGAGAACAGCAAGGAAGAGATCTGCCCCCATGATCCAATTACCTCCCACCAGCCCCCTCCTCCAAGTCCACATAAGATTTAGGTGGGAACAAAATCCAAACCGTATCATCTATGTTGTTAAATATGTCAAGATTTCCTCCATTTGTAAGGTTAATTAATATTCCATTGTATAAATATATCACCTTTTCTTTATCCATTCATCAGTTGGTAGACATTTGAGTTATGTCCATTATCTTGGATATCATGAATATTGCTGAAGGGAACATGGGCTAGCAATCCCACTTCTGGGCTATATATTAGGATCAAAATTTTTATTTCAGCTTCCACTGTAGCAAGTCTAATAGTTGTTCACCAATATTCAGACTCCCCTTATTTAATCCTAATACTGCAAAATTTCAGCTGGTTATGTGTGCAATGTATTTGATATTATAGTTTCCAGATCATTTTTCTTTGTTGGGACCACATTCTGCCCAATGAGATGAAAGCAACAATTATACAAGCCTCTTCTGATCCACACCCAGGAAAGAATTATGTGATTACTACTCAGCTTTGCCCTCTTCTTTATGGCAACAAAGGAAATAGCTACCTTGACCTAAGAGGTGGAAAACATATTTGAGAATGGTAGATTGCCTTTATCCCTGGCAACTAATTACCTTTGAACTGTTGTGTGAAAGAGAAATACATATTTATCTTGAATGTGTCACTGTATTTTCAGTTCCTTGTTTTTTGTGTAGCACAAGCACTAACTCATCTGCTTATAAGTTCTGTAAAATTACTCAAGTCATATATCTATTTTAATTTTTTTGGATTACTCATTATAAAATAGTCACATTAATATTATAGGACTTAGAGGACTATACATACTAATATATGTATAGCACTTGTGGTATGGTTTGGATATTTGTCCCCTAAAAATATCATGTTGAAATGTAATCCCAGTCTTGGAGGTGGAGCCTGGTGGAAGGTGTTTGGATCACGGGGACAGGTCCATCATGAATGTCTTGGTGCTGTCCTCATAATAATAAGTGTGTTCTTACTGTTAGTTCACATGAAAGCTGGTTGTTTAAAAGATTGTGGCACTTCCCCCCTCTCTCTCTTGCTTCCTATGATGTGCCTGCTCCCATATGCTCTCTGCCATTATTGTAAGCTTCCTGAGGGTCACAAGAAGCAGACACTGGCACCATGCTACCTTTAAAGCCTACAGAACTGTGAGCCAATTACTGAAGCTCAGGTATTCCTTTACAGCAATGCAAAAGCAGACTAATACAGAGCATTGGTATCAAGGAGTGAGGCATTGCTATAAAGATACCTGAAAATGTGGAACTGGCTTTGGAACTGGGTAATGAGCAGAGGCTAGAAGAGTTTTGAGGACTCAGGAAAAGACAGAATGATAAGAGAAAGTTTGGAATTTCTTAGAGACTGGTAAAATGATTGTGAAGAAAATGCTGATAGTAATATGTACAGTGATGGCCAGGCTAATGAGGTCTTAGATGAAAATGAAGAATTTCTTGGGAACTGGAGTAAAAGTCACCTGTAGTATGCCATAGTAAAGAGCTTTGCTGCATTGTGTCCACATCCTAGGGATCTGTGTAGAGTTGAACTTAAGAGTAATGACATAGGGTATCTGGAAGAATAAATTTCTAAGCAGCAAAGTCTTCAAGGGGTGACCTGGGCAGCTACTCATAATCTATGATTAGATACCCAGGAGCGAAGGAATGACTTAAAGTTGGAATTTATAATTAAAAGGAAAGCAGAGTGTAAAGGTTTAGAAAATTTGCAGCCTGGCCCTGTGGCAGAGAAGAAATCTAAGGAGGCTATGGAGCAACCACTTGATAGAGAGATTAGCATGACTAAAAGAGAGCCAAATACTACTATCCAAGACAATAGGAAAAAGGACTCAAAGGCATTTCAGGAGGCTTCACGGCATCCCTTCCCATCTGTGGCCCAGAGGCCTAGGAGAAAAGAATAATTTGGAAGGCCAGACTGAGGGCCCTGCTGCCCTGTGCAGCCTTGGGCCATTGATCCCTGCATTGAGGCTATGCTGGCTCCAGCCTCAGTTCAAAGTGTCCCAGAAACATCTCTGGCCACTGCTCTGAAAGGCACAAACTGTAAACATTGGCCGCTTCCATGTTTTGTTAAGCCTGAAGGCACACAGAATGCAAGATTGGCAGCTCCACCTAGATTTCAGAGGATGTATAAGAAAGCCTGGCTGTCCAAGCAGAATCCTGCCACAGGGCTGGAGCCCTCACAGAGAATCTCTACTATGGCAGTGCAGAGGGGAAATGTGAAGTTGGAGTCCCCATAGCACTTTCTAATGGAGCTATGGGAAGGGGATGCCACCTTCCAGACCCAAGAATGGTAGAGTCACTGGCAGCTTGCAACCTAAACATGGAAAATCTGCAGGCACTCAAGTCCAACCCATGACAGCAGCCACGGGGATTGTACCCTGTAAAGCCAAAGAAGTGGACCTGTTCAAGCCTTGGGAGCCCACCCTTTTCACCAGTGTGTCCTGGATGTGGGACATGGAGTCAAAGGAGATTATTTTGGAGCTTTAGAGTTTAATGGCTGCTGTGCTGAGTTTCAGACTTGCATGGGGCCTGTTTGATGCTTTCTTTTGGGTGACTCCTCCCTTTTGGAATAGAAACATTTGCCCAATGCCTGTACCACCATCTTATCTTGTAAGTAGATAACTTATTTTTACTTTACATGCTTATAGCCAAAGGCGATGATTCTCAGATGAGACTTAGGATTTTGGACTTAATGCTGAAACAAGTTAAGAATGTACTGAACTATTGGGAGGAGATATTGTATTTTGCAATGTGAAAAGGACATAAGATTTAGGATGTCTGGGTTGAATAACATGGTTTGGATGTTTGTTCCCTCCAAATCTCATGTTGAAACATAATCACCAATGTTGAAAGTGGGGCCTGGTGACAGGTGTTTCAGTCATGGGAGTGGGTCCCTCATGAGTGACTTTGTGCTGTCCTCATGATAATTACTGCATTCTCACTGTTAGTTCACATGAGAGCTGGTTATTTAAAAGAGGGTTATGGAAACTTGCCTCTCTCTCTTGCTTCTGCTCTCACTATGTGATGTGTCTGCTCCTTCTGACGCTTCTGCCATGATTGTAAGCTTCTTGAGGCCTTGCTAGAAGCAGATGCTGGCATCATACTTTCTGTAAAGCCTGCAGATCCGTGAGCTAATTAAAGATTTTTTTCTTTATAAATTACCCAGTCTCAGTTATTCCTTTATAGCAATGCAAAAAAGCCTAATACAACTTAGTAGCCCATGTACAGCACTTAATAACCAATAATTATTAAGTATGAAAATATAAAAAAACTAATTTATGTTGTCCAGCTTTATTCATTATAACTTTTATAAGTAATCTCTCAGTTTATGGTGAAGACGTCTCAAATAGATACATTTTAATAATATATTTTTAGAGCTATTGAATTAAGACTAATCTATTTTTTATCTTTTCTTACATTACACCTAGCCAAGTATATATTCAATACCTATTTTATTAATTCTTATCTACATCAAAGTCCATAAAACTTTTGTCTGTATCAATCTAAAATCTTTGGACATATTGTTTAATTTTTTGTTTTAATTCATTTTAAAATTAATTTAACGAATAACATAAATGTTGATGAATTTGTTTTTCAATCTCTAATTTTTCATATATAAACTGATTTATATGATGTATCATATGTGAACTGATTACACCTCAGAAATTAAGCATTTTTATGATCTAAAAAAACTGCATGATCTTCTTCTATAATAATACTGGTAGGTACTATTGGTACTCTGCCTTCTAACCTTACTTCTAGTAGAAGTAAATATTCTTCTACTTTAATACAATTATGGTGAGAAGTATGTTTTATATATCAATAAGAAGAGACCCATCACTCTGCTGAAAGTCCATGGTACTTCATTTTTAAAACACTAACTATGTTTTTCTTATTAAAGAAATCTACAGATATCAAAACATCACTAAACTAGGCTAGATTTTTGGGAAGATGCAACAAAGTATATAACTTTTCCTTCCCCACACCAAATACATGTGTAGCCACTCAAGTCTTTGTTAAAATGGTGAATATGTGAATGAGATGAACATGAAGTACCCAGCCCATGCAGGTAGCAGGAGAGGTGGGAGAGGGACTGGCGGTGATAACATAGGAGCATTAAGTGTGAATGTAATATTTGAAGTTTTAGCTCAGATAGCAATTTCCTAAAGAGAAACTTTGCCTACTTTGGAATATTTTCCATAACTAAAATGAAGTGGAAGGGAAGCTTGACTACACGTGTTTGTGTAACTAAAGATTAAAATATTGGTATTTGAATAAAAAATATTTTAAATGCATATGTTTGCAATAAGCAAAACATTCAAAATCACTTTTCAAATTTTATTCTCTCTGATTCAGAGTCAATGAATTCTAAATATTTATATTGATTTAATTAATTATTATCAGCCAGCTCAATTCAAACTGCATTATCTGACTAGAACATTTTTATTGTTGAGAAGAACATGAAAAGAGGCTATTTAGATTAGAATGGTCTTGATGTTAGTTATAACGCTTCATTATGCACATTAAACCATTTCTAACTGAATTCATTCAGTTGAATATAAAAAATAATTGAATAATCAGGGAATAATTTAGCTATAGTCTTGAAACTATGAATAAATATCGTGACATATTAACCAAAATATAAACAAGTTTATTTAACCAAAATATAAACAAGTTTTATTAGAGTACAACCAAATGCTAACTATTTACAAATCTTCCTAAACAATTTAGGAACACATATCATATAGAATATTTTTAAATGTGTTAAGGAGCTAGGTTTATCCACAAACAAGAGAGTCTGAAGTCAGGTCCAGTAGTTATTTTAGCAAGGTTCTCCACTCTTCTTCCAGTACAGATAGGTAATCTTCTAGAAAATCAACTGTCTAATCTGTTCATTTGAGAAATCGCCTATGTTTGGGATGTTAAACCTTCTGGATATTTTTATTATTTTGTTCTTAAATATGACCACTGGGTAGACTTATTTGGGTTTTAAGGTAGCCATTATATATTTCCCCAAGTATTTTGGCCTGAGAAACATAGCTTGTTGTTTCTAAAATATAAACAACAAAGTTTAGTGCACGTACTAGCTTTCTAATGATAGCCAATACAGAAATACAGTGAAAATAAAATAAATCCTTTTGGGCATAAGTTTAGAGTTTTCCTTCCTAGCAGTTATTTTTTGTATGGTAGGAATTAGTAATGCTTAGTAACTTTTTGACAGTCATCTGAAGACTAGTTTTATATGAGGCTTCAATATATTAGTGAAACTGGAACAAAATATTCATGGCTATATAAGCATCTGACCTACTTCAACATTGTGTTACAGCTTTAAATAAAGCTTCTCCACTCTCCTTCTTCATTACCTACACATAGGAAGCCAGGGAAACTAACTTTGTAATCTATTGATCAATTCATTTGCTACAAATATTACCACTGTGAACACTGTAAATTATATTTAAATACGGTGTAGCCATCTGTAGGCGGCTTGTGTTAGTCAGCTCAATTAGACCCCTGCCTTATCTCAAGAAGAGAGGGCTTTCTGTATCCCAGGTTCTTGTCTTGGTGTACCGGAAGAATTGGATCACACGTGGGCTTGGGGAATGAGTACAAGGTTTTATTGAGTGGAATTAGCTCTCAGCAGATGGGGGAGCCAGAACGGAGATGGTTTTCCCCTAGAGTCGAGCTGCTCAGCGGCCCGCGCTCTCCTCTGACCACCCCAGCCAAACTCTGCGTCATTCCATGGGTGGATGGCCTGCCGGTGTGTTGGTGTGCTCTTCCACAGGTGTGCTCCCCTCAACATCTAGCCGCTTGTGTCTTCTTCGTTGATGTGTTCCTCTCGATGTCAAGCAGCTGTGTCTTTGCCTGCTAGGGTCTTGGGGTTTCTGTAGGCACAGGATGGGGGCCTGGTGGGCCAGGGTGGTCTTGGAAAATGCAATATTTGGTCATGAAGGCAGGAGTGCTTGTCCTCACCTAGGTCCGTGGACAGAGGCCCGGGGGTAGACCCCTAGCCAGGGAGCCGCCTTTCTCTACCCAGCACTTCCCTGCCCCACTTCTGTATCAATAGGAGTTGTACTGAATCTGTAGATTGCTTTGGGTAATATGGTCATTTTAACAATATCAATTCTTCCAATCCATGCACAAGAGAAATCTTTCCATTCATTTGTGTCTTCTTCAAATTCATTCATTCATGTCTTATAGTTTGGTTTTTTTTTTTTTTTTTGGTATAGATCTTTTACCTCCTTGGTTAAATTTATTCATAAATATTTTTTCTCTCTGACGCTATTGTATATGGAATAATTTTCTTAATTTTATTTCTAATAATGTCTAGCTACTATAAAGAAATGCAACTGATTTGTATGTTGATTTTGTACCTTGGAACTTTGAAAACATAGGAAAAAACCTCCCTTACATTGGATTTGGCACTGTTTTTTTTTTTTTGGATGTGACATCAAAAGCACATGGAACAAAAGGAAAAATGAACTGAGACCACATCAAACTAAAAAGCTTTTGCAAGCAAAGGGAAAAAATACACAAAATAAAAAGGCAGCTTATGGAACGGGTAAAAAACTTGCAAATTGTATATCTGATAATGTGTTAATATTCAAAATATGTAAGGAACTCCCACAACTCAATAGCAAACACACAGACACACACACACACACACACACACACTCCAATTAAAAAATGAGCAAAGGCTTGAATAGAGAATAGGGAACCCTGTACACCCTTGGTGAGAATGTATATTGGCATAGCCATTATGAAAACAGTAAGGAAGATTTTTCTTACATTAAAAATAGAAGTGCCGTATGTTCTAGCAGTCTCACTTTTGGATACCCAGTCAAGGGAAGCGAAATAAATGTATCAGAGAAATATCTGCACCCCCTGCACCTCTCATTTTCATTGAAGTAATAGTGATGTTGCCAAGATGTGGAAACATAGTGACATTGTCAAGATATGTCCCCCCACTGGGAAATGGGGGAAATAGAAAGATATTAGTCAAACGGTATAACCTTTCAGTTATAAGATGAACAAGTTCTGAGTATCTAAGGTACAGCGTGGGTGGTGATGGATGTGTCAACTAATTTGGTTGTGGTAATCATTGCATAGTGTATATGTGTCAAGTCATCACATTGTACACTTTGAATATGTATAATCTATATTTTTCAATTAAATGTTTCAAAAATAAATAAAATATTTTTATAAAAAAATTCAATGTAGAAACTTCATCTAATATATAAAGAATGACAATATGTACATGACAATTGCAGCCTATGTCTACCATTCATAATCAAATTATTCCTTACCATGACACTACTTCAGGTAATTGTAACACTCAGATACCTATGCTGTATTTCCCAGGGTGAGATCTGTTGCAATAGGAAGCCAAAAAACGAGGGGAAAATAATTACCTGAAATGCTGAATACATCCTAAAAATGGTTAAAACATCATGTATAGTTAGAAAGAATATTTAAAGAAATAAAAAAATTGAATTTTGTGTCATTTATAGAAACAGAAACAAAAATATTAATGAATTTTATTAGGCTCTGGGAAAAATATAATGTAATCAGAGGGATAATAAACTTTAGATCCTTCCACGAAGGACCTAACATTATGATGAAAGAGGGAAGTAAACGGAAAATTATATTTTGGCATGGTAATGATTCATGTTATAATCCATACAGACTATGGTGGTGTGGAGATACAGAGAAAAAACAATTATTTCCCCCTGCACTGGTCCGAGAAGTCTCAATATAATATGACATTGACTTCTGTATAGAAGGGGGTCACAGATGCAAGATATTAAAAGTTGAAAGAGCACCAAATTCAAAAGCATTCTGTACTTGTGTTCAGTCCACAGTGAATGCTAATAAAGAAAGGAATATTTGAATTATTGTGCATCATTGTTATTATATATATGGTACACTGTGGTGTGTTTGTGTGTGTACTTTTTTCAGCATGATTAGATGCCTTTCTATTCTAACATATTAAGACTCTGATAAATGTCTAACAACAAACAGCAATTACTGCTCCAACAATTGACTATATCTACATCATGGCTGTTTCTGGACTGTAAAGTAAATATATCTATTTGCTTTATTTATATTCAACTCAAACTTTGTCATTTATTCTAGACTCCCATCTATATTAATTGAGCAGAAAAATATATGTGTATACATGCAGGTTTTTATATGTGAGAGAGTGTGTGTGTGTGTGTGTGTGTGTGTGAGAGTGAAAAGAGAAACGCACAGTTACATAGAACAGAGACCCAGAGAAGCATGCTTGCATTTTCAGTAACAATTGTACACCTTGAACTGCCTGTTTTAGTAAAGTAGATAAAGAACAAGCAATTTTTATGGATTACATTAAAATTCCCTATCGATTCTGAGTAATATTTCTATTATTTTAAGTGAATAGAGGTTTTGATAAAGGCAAATTAAAACTACTTGGCCTTGCTAAATTATATGGAAGAAAATAAATTGGCGTATGAAATTCACCATAAATTTTCTACAGATTTTGGAACATTAAGCTGGGTAAGCATTGTGAAATTGGCACTTGGTTTAATCTTACTTTGTTAACAAGCTAGTTTTGCACTGAAATAGAAAAGCCACCCGTGGTTTCATCTTAACAAAAGGATACTTGGCTTGTTAATGATTTAATCCTATTTCATTTACTATTTGAATACAGTCATGTATTGCTTAAGGATGGGGATGCATTCTAAGAAATGCATCATTAGGCAGTTTTTTCATTGTGTGATCATCATAGAGTGTACTTACACAAGCCAAGGTGGTAGAACCTACTACACACCTAGACTGTATGGAAGAGCCTATTGCTGCTAGACTATGAAGCTATATAGCATATTCTTCTATTGAATACTATAGGCAATTCTAACACAATGGTAAGTAGTTGTGCATCTAAACATGTACAAATATAGAAAACGTACAGTCAAAATATAGTCTTATAATCTTATTGAACGATCAAATATGCAGACCGTCATTGACCAGAATATTGTTATGCAGCTCATGGCTGCAGTTCATACAGAATATTTAAAATTTTGTTTATATATAACTTTTTATAACTGGATAAATGTGGCAGAAGTTATTGGCTTAACATTAAAGACAGTGCTAACCAATTTTGGGGAATTTTGATAGATATTTGCAATAGGTAAAATATACATAGACTATACATATGCGTATATTAATACATCTGTACGTATTTTCTTCTCTTCCATGTCCATGAAGAACAGAATAGAGAATAACAGAAAGGGACAAGCAATAGTACAAAAAAAGTTATATCGTGAAGGTATATGAAGAATAGACTTGGCCAGGCACGGTGGCTCACGCCTCTAATCCCAACACTTTGGGAGGTCGAGGCGGGCAGATCACTTGGAGTCAGGAGTTTGAGACTAGCCTGGCCAACATGGTGAAATCCCGTCTCTACTAAAAATACAAAAAAATTACCCAGGCGTGGTGGTGGGCATCTGTAATCCCAGCTACTCGGTGGCTAAGGCTGGAGAATCGCTTGAACCTGGGACATGGTGGTTGCAGTGAGCTGAGATCATGCCACTGCACTCCAGCCTGGGCAACAAGAGCAAAACTCTGTCTAAAAAAAAAAATAAATAAAAGAATAGGACTCAAAGAGCTCTCAAATTTTGAACAGAGAGCTTGAGTGTGCTCTAAATAATATGTACCTATAGAGAATTTCTAGAAAAAAGATAATCAGTCCCATTGTTGGAATTCAGGACTCAAAAAGCAGAATATATTTTAAAGATTTATAATATTTGACAGGTTTTTCAGTGGATATATTAAATCTACAGATAATTATTGATTTATTTAACTTATGCATTTACCGGCAATTAATCTTCTTATCTGTGTTATTATATTACTTATACTGACAAGAGTCACCTAGCTTATTTTACAAAACATGTTATTAGAGTTACTGAAATAAAAAGAAAATCCACAGAAAGGTACTATTTCAAAACATTGATTACCTGGGTTGCAAAAAGAAATACATGTTTGTGGATAGCTAGCTGGAAAGAAACCTGTATTTGTGGCTTTAACATAACTATTCTTTAAAGTACTAAAATAAACTTGCTTCTTTATACCGTTTCTGTGCACTGTCTGAGATGAAACTTCCTTATAATCTACATTTCTCCTCCTGTTACAATAGTAGGAGTTTATTTTTGAAGTCATATATATGTCTGTGTATTCCTTTTATTATGATCACTTTGGAATAATGTGATAATATCAGAACAGAATTCGATTCTGTGCTTTTTATATCTTAGTTTTTTCTGCATTATCTAGATTTTCTATTGAAACAGACACACACACACACACACACACACACACAAAACAGGTATGTATGACTTCTGTTTTTACCTCCAACATGGAAAGAGCTTGGAAGCTGCCATTTCCATTCTTACAATAAGAAAAAGCTAAACAAACTGAAAATAGAGTACTTTTGGGGGGTGCATCAGGGAACTAAATGAATAAACAAAACAAAACAGATACATAACAATGTAATGCTGCTCAACTATAAAAAGAAATGAGCTATCTAACAACACAACGGTATGGGTGAATCTTAAGTAAATATTAGTGAGTGAAATAATCCAGACTGAAAAAAATTACATAATCATTCCTAGTATATGATTTTTAAAAAGAACATTAAAATATCAGAGATTATTAGGGGGTAGTAAAGTTGAACACGGAAAGTATAGAGTATTTTTTAAGGGTAATGCAGCTATTCTGTATGACACTATAATAGTGGATACATGATATGATACATTAGACAAAACGCATAAAATTTTACAGCTCAAAGAACGTCTTAATTCATACAAATTTTCAAAGAAGTTTAGATAGAAGGGATTCCAGGATGGCATTTAGAATTAAAAAAAAAAACTGTAAGTATATGAAATGGCCTCACTAAAAGAAGTGGGGAAAAAGACACTCACCTAAGTGACTTTGGAAACAAGTGGCATATATAATATTAAATACTAAAGGAATTGAACATAAGCATTCTATTTGGTAAAGTTATCTCCCCCAAGGAAAAGGCTTAGCAATTCTGATACTGCTATGCATCTATACTGAAACTGAACATTTACGTTAACCGATGGTGGATGGTGGGAAACAAGTTTTTTACTGTTGAAGTGAAAGATTATAGACAAAACTGAGAAGAAGACTAGAATTATTTGGAAATTGATTAGAAATGGAGATTTTAATATGAACTATGTAATTTAACATAAATATACATAATTATATGTAGAAATAGATTTGCATGTTCCTATAAATATGGGTATAAACATGGGTTAATACATAAATACCTAAATATGTATGTGTGTGTGCATGTTCGTATATATATTCACACACACAAACTCATGTACATATATTCTATACACACATTTTCATATATGTGTGTGTGGATATAAATATGTCTGTGTGTGTGTGAAAATCTATTCCTTGCTCTGTTAGGTGAGGGGCTAGCAACAACGGGAAAGTGGTAGCAACAAACCTGATGCCAGGATTTTGATTTATTATACCATGATCCAAGGAGGAGACATAGGACTCTATAGAGAAATGACAGTCTCAGACTACTGCAAGTAATATACAAAATGATCCTGGAGCATCTTCTCATGTCATAAAGCAGAAACTACTCAGAAAACAAAACAAAACAAACATATACACACAATGATATGGTATGTCAAAGGGGCACAGGAGCCAAAAGAAAGCTGTCAATGGTGGAAGCTGGATGAATTTTGAGAAGCAAAACAAAGTAATACTGGATTAAGTAAAAAGCATAAAATAAATATCCATGAATCCACACTGATGTAAATTATTGAATAAATATATGAAGAAGAGACAGTCTTCAGTGCAGAAATACTCCAAATACTTTAGGTAGATACTCTGCTATCAAGGAGGTGGATTATAACTCCCGATTCCTTAACTATGGGCGTGTATAGTGACTTGCATTCAAAGAATATATGGAAATGGGAAGAATCACAAGTGTAATTAGCAGCGGGACACCTAACAAAGAAACACTACATCAACCAGGTTGAAGGTGATGAAGGTTAACATAAATAGTGATAAGTTTTGGTGATAATAGGTATTAATATTGTTGATACAAGTGATAAAAGAACACGTCACTTTCGTGGTCTGCCTCCTCAAAACACATAAGCTCAATTTAATCATGAGGAAAATAATAGATAAGTTCCAATTGAGGGGCATTCTACAAATTATCTCTCCAGAATTTCATAAAACTGTCAAGATCACCAAAAATAAGCAATTCTGAGAAACTGTTATACCCAGTATAAACTTGAGGAATCAAAGCAACTAAATGTCATGTAGTGTCCTGAATGGGTCAGTAAAACGACATTAGGTAAATCTTAAGGATATCTGATACAGTAGAGGCACTAATTACTGCTAATATTTCAATACTGGTTCATTAATTGTAACAAGCGTACCATGCTAATGTGAGATGTTAATAATGGATGTAAAATATCAATAATGATAATAGTCATTAAAAATAACTGGGTATGTATTGTATAGATACTTTTCTATTTTTGCAATTTTCCATCAAACGTAAGACTATTTTAAATTAAAAGTTTATTTAAAGCCACAGATCTTATATTATGCTAATCTTCACCAGTCATCTTTGTATATGACCACCTAATATCTGCCTAGAATTTTCACATATTTATAAACTCGAATAATTATCTCAAAATATTGTAAATACAGTAATTTTAGCAGACTGTACAAATGCAGAATGCGGTTGTTTGTGGCAAACCTGGTCTGTGGTCCCATTCATGTTTCATGGTCCTACATCACCACCACACGCAACTTACCCCTGGAGGTTAAGAGTATATCATATATAGTAAAGTAAAAACTGTTTAGAAACAGTTTTCAGAGTCCTAGATGTTGTTAGCCATGCTGGTGGTGTTGTATGTATGGAAACAGAATATGTATGATGTGGTGTGATTTTGTGAGTGTTTCTTTGGCAACGAAAATAAAGAAAAACTAATAAATCAGCAGAAATGTTGAGGCTGGGAATCATGGCTTCTACCTGTAATCCCAGCAATTTAGAGGCCAAGGTGAGAGGATTGCTTGAGTCAGGCAGTTTGAGACATCAGCCTGAGAAACATAGTTAGAATCCATCTCCACAAAACAAAAACAAACAAACAACAACAACAACAACAAAAATTAAAAATTAGCCAGGTGTGGTGGTGCATTCCTGTGGTACTAGCTACTTGAGAGGCTGAGGGAGGAGGATAGCTTGCTTCAGCCTGGGCAACAGAGCAAGAAAAAGGAAGGAAGGAAGAAGGAAGGAAGGAGAAAGGAAGGAAGAAGGAAGGAGAAAGGAAGGAAGGAAGAAGGAAGGAAGGAGAAAGGAAGGAAGAAGGAAGGAAGGAGAAAGGAAGGAAGAAGGAAGGAAGGAGAAAGGAAGGAAGAAGGAAGGAGGAAGGAAGGAAGGAAGGAAGGTAGGAAAGAAGGAAGGAAGGAAGGTAGGAAGGAAGGGCTCATCACCAGTACTGTAACTTGATAGATGAATGCACTTCAGCTTCTTATTAGAGATTAGTTTGAGGTTTTGTTTGAAAAAGAAGTTTCCCTACTAAAAATAAGGTTTAAAGTCAATTTGGTCAATTAAAATCTTATGAAAATTTATTTATTATTTTAATGAAAAGCATTTTATTGAAAGTATTTAATATTGAACACAAGCACTTTGAGGAAAGAGAGCAAAGAGTCATATATTAACGGGGCGTAAGAGTTCAAGGCAAAAAAAAAAGCGAGAAGCATGCAGACAGGAGATTACTTACACATGCATTCTAAATTATCTTTGGATTTCCAGTGACCTACCTAATGTGGACACATAATAACTTTATATTTTATGTATAAGCATAAGTCTAAGACAGTACTATGACAATGGAAAAGAAATATGAGATGGAAGTAGAACAAATTTTTTCTAAATCTGTTGTTTTGTTATCTAAAGATTATTTAAATATTCAATCTGTAATTTTTTTGTGTCAAGTTACCATACAATTTTTTAAGTATTTTATTTTATTATTATTATTTTTTGAGACAGAGGCTCACTCTGTCACCCAGACTAGAGTGCATTGGCACGATCTCGGCTCCCTACAACCTCCCCTCGCTGGTTCAAACAATTCTCCTGCCTCAGCCTCTGGAGTTGTTGGTATTACAGGCTCCCCACACCATGGCTGGCTAATTTTTGTATTTTTAGTAGAGACAAGGTTTCGCCATGTTGGCCAGGCTGGCGTCAAATTCCTGGGCTCAAGTGATCCACCCGCCTCAGACTCTCAAAGTGCTGGCATTACAGGAGACAGCCACCAAGCTGGCCAAGTTTCTGTGCAATTTTCAAATGTTATATTCAATTTTTGTGCATACACTTTCATTGACCAAAACAAAGATCATGGACCAGTGATGGTCAGTGGAACACATCTGGAACATGACTGCTGTAATACAATACCTAAAAAATAATAAGTGCTTGGTAAAAGACTTCTATTATTAACACCTAACAATAGGTCTGAGTCAACCATTAAATAATCATCTTTGTGAAACCATTATTGAAATGGCATAGAAATTTCATGTAAATAATATTAAAATTATTCTAAAATAATAGAAGCAATAAAAAAGTATACTTGTAGAAAAATAAGCATTAAACTTACCTCATATTTCCCTTCATAAATAATAAATGCCACAAAATAAAGAATAAGGTTCATGACAATGTTAGTAGAAAAATTCTATAGTCTAATATAATTGTAAGAAGCATTTTTTTAATAATTGTAAGAAGCATTTTTTTAATTTAAACATCTTACATATGCAATCGTTGGAACATAGCTTATAATTAAATTCTGCTAACCCAAGTTAAAACAAAACTGAAGCATCAAAAATAATGAAAACCCCTAGCTATGCTTTCCAATTTGCAGCAAAATAGGAAAGCAATGGCACATTTCCAAATAGAAATGATGGGAGGTAAGAGTGGATAAGACAGGAAAAAAAAATCTAAAAACTCAAATATAAACACAAACAAAATGACAACCATAAGATGAAATAAAGCATTAAAAAATAAATGTATATATTGTACATCTTCATAAGATGCAGAAATAACTAAAGGGTTACAGAAACAAAGCAGAAAAACTGAAACAGATCAGTAATCTTGTATTAATTGAAATATCAAAAAGTAAATTCAAAAAGTAGATAATTTGAGTTTTTATAGCGTTCAAGATTCTAGGAAAAGAAACATTCAGTTCATTTATTAAAATATTCAATGTGTGACTCTAAAGATTGAAGAAATTAATAGAAAAACAATAATAAAACAGTATCACTTGAATAACAATGCTAAAATAAAAATCCTAAAAAGACTGTAATGGAATACATATTAAAATAGCCTACTACATACTTAATATATATTTGGGCAAGAGAAAAAGGAAATGTGGCCAAAAAGTTTTAAAAATATGTTATAAATCATAAGTGGTCATATAAATGTGACTTAAAATAGTAATGTGAATTCTTTCTCTTACATGAAAATATCTAAGATTTTTAAAACCATGTTTAATGCCTTAAGTTTTAAATTTGTGCTATAATGAGGAGTATATTTACTGCAGCTGAGATTACTCAGCTCAGTAGACCCAGTTTCTAGGGGGGCTGAGGAAGGAGAATTGGTGGAGCCCAGAAGCTTGAGTCCAGCTTGGGCAACATAGTGAGACCCCCATCTCTAAAACACAAACTAATAAACAAAAAATTTGTCAATTCAGTAAAAAAAAAAAAAAAAAAATTTTAAAGATATATATATATATATATATATATATATACACATATGTATTCTGGAATACACATCTTTTAATACATCAGACATTAAATTACAGTTCCATACATATTTATAATTTGGACTCTGGAAATACTTTTGTAGGAATCATTTATAGGAAAATTATATGAAAAAAGATATGCTTTAATAAGAAATTTTAAAATGATTGTTTGGCTGGGTGTGGTGGCTCACACCTGTAACCCCAGCAGTTTGAGAGGCTGAGGTGGGCGGATCGCTTGAGCTCAGGAGTTCATGACCAGCCTGGGCAACATGGTAAAACACCATCTCTACAAAAAAAAAAAAAAAAAAAAAATATATATATATATATATATATATATATATATGTCAGCTGGGCATGGCAGCACAGGCCTGTAATCCCAGTTACTTGGGAGGATGAGGTGGGAGGATTGCATGAGCCTGGGAGGTTGAGGCTGCAGTGAGCCAAGATCACAACACTGCAGAGCCTGGGCAACAGAGCGAGACCCTGACTGGAAAAAAATAAATAAATAAAATAAAATATAAAACAAAATAAACAGATTGTTTGTAGCCTTCCTTATTTACGTTTTAATTTTGTTGTTATGTTTTTTGGTCTGACACATTGCATACATATTGTCAAAATTTTAAAAATAGACATTAAAAATGGACAAAAAATATAACATCATTCACAATCTGACCATCTAGGTATATACAAATGCTGTTCACATTCTCCCGATAATTATTTGTTTTTGCAATTGTGACAATTATACACATACAAATACATATACAAACACATTTTAAAATGTTGTTTCTTAACAGCACATGAGTTTAACATGTTATAATTCATAAAATTAAAATTTTAAATAAACAGTAAAAAATTAAACATTAAATTATAAAATTCATTAAGCCACATTATTAAATTACAGATTAATTATCTATGTAACTGAAATTTGTATGCAACCTCACATTGTTGAAATTACAGCTAAGATATTTTATTATGATAATAAATACTGGGAGAAACATTTTATGATTTAGGTGAAATATCAGAAAGGTAGTTGAAAATATAGTAGAAATTATTCATTTTATAAATTAATCCAAGAAAGCAGAACTATGAAAATTTATTAGTAAATCAGAAATAAAAGGAAACATGTATAAAAGTTAAAACTTTTAAATAAATCTCAAAATCATTTTAAAAAAAGTTTCTTGTTTTTCGACAACTGTATTATTTATCTTTTTCTGTGTAACAAATAACCCCTAGAACTTAGACCCTAAAATAACAAACACGATGTCATAGTTTATTTGGGTGAGGAATCTGAGTGTGACTTTCCTTGGTCCTCTTGTTCGGGGTCTCACAGGCTGCAATCAAGGTATCAGCCAGGACTGCAGTCAGCTCAAGCTTAAGCAGGGAGGATTAGCTTCCAAGCTCACTCATGCATTTGTTGGCAAGATTCCATTTCGGGTTGTTGGAACAAAGGCCTCGAATCCTTGCTGGCTGTCCTAGTTCTTTGCAGCATGTACCTCTCCATAGGGCAGGAAACACATGGCAGCTGGGTTCAGCACAGCAAGCAAGAGAGAATGTGTAAGAAAATGCTAGCAAGATGAGAGCCATGGTGTTTTGGTAACCTAGTAAGTCACATACAATCACTTTTGCACTATTCTATTCCAGAGAAGTGGGTCACTAGATGTAGCCCACACTGAAGGGGTGGGGATTATCCATCTTGCCTGAATACCATGAGAGGGATCACTGAGGACCGTCTCAGAACCTGTGCACCACTGTGACATATTTAGTGAGAGTATAGTATGTGATAATACCACTCAAAATTCTGAACAGTTTTTGGTTGGACATTCTCATGAATGACAGAGATGGTAAATTGGTACAACTTTCAGGATACCAATCTGAAAATAGATATTAAATACCACGTTTTATTTTAATCTGACCAAAACTGTCTATTGTTAGGTCTTTAAAGACATGAGAATGCATGTGCACATATATGTAATTATAGTAATGGCCATCGCAATGTGGTTAACAAGAAGAATCATTTTGAATTTTTGCAATAATGGATCAGTTAAATGGCTGCATACTTAGCATTGCTATTTTAAGTGATGTTTAGAATAGTTCCTATTAATATAGATAAAAACAAATTACAGAGTAATGAAATAATGTATGATCCTCTTTTCATTTCTCACTATCTGTGTATCCTATCCATATATCTATCTATGCATGTATATATATAAAATGTTTATCTACAGGTTCTGGGATGGCAGTTGCTTTTTTTTTTTTAAACTTTAGCTTTTACGTAATTAAAATTAATATATGGCCAGACACAGTGGCTCACTCCTGTAATCCCAGCACTTTGGGAGGCTGAGGTGGACGGATCACGAGGTCAGGAGATCGAGACCATTCTGGCTAACACAGTGAAATCCCATCTCTACTAAAAAATACAAAAAAATAACAGGGTGTGGTGGCGGGCGCCTGTAGCCCCAGCTACTCGGGAGGCTGAGGCAGGAGAATGGCGTGAACCTGGGAGGTGGAGCTTGCAGTGAGCCGAGATAGCGCCACTGCACTCTAGTCCAGGCGACAGAGCAGGACTCCGTCTCAAAATAAATAAATAAATAAATAAAATTAATGTAATAAAAATTAAATTTACTTTCATGAGAAATGGGTAACATTTTATTTTAAAGAAGTTATAGAATTGAAACGTGAAAAGTAGAAGCAAATACATTTGCTTTTCAAAACACCTGCAAAAGTAAGAATAATAAAAAAAGGAAGGAAATAACGAAGGCAAGAAAAAAGGAAGAAAAGAAGGACTAAGAAAAAAGAAAGGAAGAAAGGATGACAGAATAGGATGAGGGAGTGTGGAGAAAGTAGAGAAAGAAAGATTATATTACCATATTTAACTCTCCATTCTACTTTACCCTGGTGAATTTAATTTTGTATGTAAGGCAGTAGCTTGGATTTGTTCACAAGTTACTGTGTGCTCATTTTCTTTAACTGCATAAACACTCACATATGTTGAATGATAGATTGAATATTTTATTACTTTCTTTTTAGACAAAAAATTTGGAAGTCATAAAACAGAAATCGATATTAAACTTTAACAGAATAAAAATATCTTTATTTTTGCAAGTATTTATGTGTGTGTTGGAGGAGTGTATTCTCTAATAAATGATGTATCATTTTCATGCTCTGATGTGATGCAAATAATTAAAAATTTTGGTAACTACTGATTTATTGGACAATGTAACAATTTTGTACACTCGATGATAGTCTTTTGTTTCTTATGAAGATATTTTATTGCTTAATTAAGTGCAACTTTTTAGAGACAAAATCATGCATATATCATTTAATCAGTTTCACTGTATAAGCAAAGTGAAGTGGAGAAATATTGGATTGGAGACTGGAGGTCTCTGTTCCTGTTCCCAGATATAAGGCTGACTGAGGACATAGCCTTGACATTTGACTATCAGTTGGAAATGGAGTGAATCATAACTACCTCTCAGAGTTACTGTTGTTAAAATTTAATGAAACAGTGTATAGCAAAAAAATAAATTGTAAGCAAATAACTCAGATTGTTCCTAGGTAATCCCATCATTTATGTGCAATCAGTAAGTTCTCTATTAGAATTATAAAAATGCTCTGTAAACTTATCAGCATAGTTATTTTAAAAACATGTCAAATTTAATTAACATTTTACAGATGTTTGAACCAGTTATTGAACATAACTAAAAGAGTAAGAGTACATAATTTTAATTAACTAAATTCACTATTAAATGGGCAGGATTGTGTGAACACATCTGTGAACAGAAGCTTCTTTATAAAAGAATCTATTGCAACCACAAAACCAAACAATATTTGTGTGAGCATATTGTAAAATCAATGAAAATAATTATCATTTTAAAATTTTGCTATGACATTAGTCTCTAAAATCATATTATGGCTCAAAAAAATTGAACTACAGCCAAGTGCAGTGGCTCACGCCTGTAATCCCAGCACTTTGGGAGGCCGAGGCTGGGAGATCACAAGGTCAAGAGATCGAGACCATCCTTGCCACCATGGTGAAACCCTGTCTCTACTAAAAATACAAAAATTAGCCGGGCGTGGTGGCGGGCGCCTGTAGTCCCAGCTGCTCGGGAGGCTGAGGCAGGAGAATCCCTTGAACTCGGGATGTGGAGGTTGCAGTGAGCCAAGATCGCACCACTGCACTCCAGTCTGGCAACAGAGCGAGACTCTGTCTCAAAAAATATATATATATATTTTACATTCAGAAAAATCTATATGTTTGGACCAAAGATAAATTACAGATAATCTCTTTGAAATTATGCTATAAGGTAAAATTCCATAAAAATTGTTCTCTCAATAGAAATAATATGAAGATATTTTGGTATAGTATTTTCAAACATTTTATTTATGAAATATATTTCCAGTCAAAAATGCATTGAATAAAGTATTTCAGTTCAGTTTATTTTTTTATTTTATCAAATTTTAATACTTTATTTTATCAAATTTTAATATCAAATTTTAAAGAGAAGCAACATTTTCTTAAGTATGGAATCATGTGGTAATTTGTAATTTATTTTACTTAATATTAAATATTAAATCTTGACATCATGATTGATATAATTTCTATGCCAAATTCAAAATCTTAAATTAAGTATGAGAATATGTTTATTATGACACCAAAAACAGGTATATTTGAGTTTCACATTTGATCTTTGAGTGGTGAGAGGCATTTACATGAGCAAGTCCTTTATTCTTGCTAATACAACATTCTCTTTTAGAATACAGTTTGCCTTTTGTGTTTGTGGATTCCTGTGTATGGATTTAATCAACCACTAATCAACAGTAGAGACTCCAAAAAGCGGTAAAGAAGAAGGGGGACAAGGACTAAAAACTACCTACTGGGTATTATGTTTACTATTTGGCCGGTGTGTTCAATAGAAGTCCAAACCCCAGGATTACACAAAATATTCATGTAACAAATCCATACATATATTCCCTGAATCTAAAAATACATGTATATGTTCAAAAAATTGTGTCTGTACTGAATATGTACAGATTTTTTCTTGTCATTATTTCCTAAACAATACAGTATAACAACTATTAATACAGTATAACAACTATTAACAACAGTATAACAACAATACAGTATAACAACTATTTAATACAGTATACTGTATTAAACAATACAGTATAACAACTATATTAAGTTTATTATAAATAATTATAGATTATTATAGTAATCTAAAAATTATTTAAAGCATACAGAAGGATATGCATAGGTTATATGCAAATATGATGCTATTTTATAGCAGGAACTAGAGTACCTGCAGATTTGGGTATGTGCAGAATATCCTGGAAACAATTCCCCACAGGTACCAAAGGAGGATTGTAGTTCAATAATTTTAATCAGAGCTGGATTATCTGCTCCTTATAAATAATTACAATTTTTATTCTTTGGATTAGAACAGCAGTGATCATCCTCTGCTTCATATGGGGAAAAATAGACTCTAGAATGCTTAGCTGGTTGAATGTATAAATAAATGAATAGTCTCTATAACTCAGTCATTTGAATCTTCATTATTATCATGCTCACCATCAGTTTGTGTATAGATATAAAGTCATTTTGAGCATAGTGGTGCCTCAGATAGAACAGGCATCTCTTAAACTACAGTCATCTCTCTAATTCTCAACGTTTTTGAATCTCTTCTACTCTATTAGTCTATCCCTCTGCTCATCAGTTTAGTCCATTTACATCTATTATTTGTATGTATAAATTGAAAACATAATACATTTTTTTGCTTAACAGGATATCCACAACTCCATTAACCTCAAAACCCTGCTTTATAGAACTCTATAATCACATTATATTTTTTCTAATGTTCAAAAATAAATAGGCTGGGCATGGTGGCTCAAGCCTATAATCCTAGCACTTTGGGAGGCCGAGGTGGGCAGATGACTTGAGGTCAGGAGTTGGGGACCAGCCTTCCCAACATGGTTAAATCCTGTCTCCACCAAAATACAAAAATTAGCTGGGTGTGGTGGCATGCACCTGTAGCCCCAGCTACTCAGGAGACTGAGGCAGGAGAACCGCTTGAACCCAGGAGGCTGAGGTTGCAGTGAGCTGAAATCACACCACTGCACTCCAGCTTGGGCAACAGAGCAAGATTCCATCTCAAAATAAATAAATAAATAATAAAAATAAATAAATAATGTTTTGGGAAAAATTTCCTATAATTTTAGAAAAATTACATATGTACTATTACTTTATTCAGTGAAAAATAACCACTGTTTTTGAAAAGATTGCATGCTTTTTAAAATGTGTATTTCAAAACTTTCACAAAATATGAACTAAGTGCATAGTTTTAATATTCAGTGACTCTCTTTTTAATGGCTTGGCTAACCCTTACTCTAAAACATCTACATCTATTCTCAGTCTTTTTCTCTTCTCTCCTTTTTTAAAATGTCTCAACTATTCTTTCAATTTTTTTCTCTTTCAATTTATTTTCATGTTTTTACTTTTCTTTTGGATGACTTGAGTGTATCATTACAATCAAATGCTCATTGCTTATTGCCAGTGAATGATAACGGCTTTGTGTTACCTTTCTCCAAAAGTAGTGGGCTTTAGGATATGTTTTGTCTTATTCTACGATAAAATGTGTACCATATAAAAGCTGTATCTCCATTGCAAACCTCAAATCATTTATGTTATCATCAGTTCATGCTGAGTTCTTATTTTGTGGCAACTCAATATATTTTCACAAATGTAAGGTTATTTTCCTTGTTCCTTTTTATGGCAACATGCATTTCCTTAAATTTACAGCTATAATAAAGAAGCTGGTTGAACCACTTAATATCTTTTTATCTTCACCTCTAGGATCAAGATAAGCTATATTAAAGATTGATGTAGTCTTTATAAAAAAGTGCCTCATTAGTTGGCTGCAAGAAAGTCATCCAGCCCACAAAAGGAAAAAGCTATGTTCTAGCTTTAATATGTGTTTAAATAAGAAAAATTTCCCCATAGCTAATTCTTAAACATAAATCGCTAAAAGCCTTTCACTCTTGAGATGCAATTATACTGAAGTGCTCTAAGTGGTGAGCTGTATGATAATGGCATTTGAAGGAAATTTTTGTCTAGCATGTAGAAGAGTAAATCAAAGCCAGTTGAGAAGGGACTATGTTTACGGAAATATTTCCTTATCATGAGAAATAAACACTTCCAAGTACTCACTATTTTTATGACAACCAAAGGCATTAATGCTTGTGAAAGCACTTCACAAATTTTTCAACCTATGCAAATTGTTCCCTTGTTATCTAAAACATAGTATGGAAATGGTTTGCATAGACTTGGAGTCCCTATTATCAAATTAATAACAGCTACCAGGAAGAGCAGTTAAATGAGAGTGGTTAGGGGGAAGTTAACTTTTCTTAAAGAGTATCTGAAAACAAACAAGAGTAGACACAACTATGAATGAGTCTTGAAGAAGTTAATCATATTTAAATTTCATTCTAGGACACTGCTATCCTTTTTCCTTTTTAGAACTTGGGTATCATGCTGCTTCTAAGTATAATTAAAGCAATTTATGTGCTATATTCTTAATAAATCATTGTCTTTCTATAGCATGGTTACAAGCTAGTGGGATATGTCTTATGTCACAGGTTTTTAAAATGCGTTTTATGCATATAGAAAATCTAATTAGATACAACTCCTATTGGACTGCTGTGAGCCCAATATGTAGGCATAGTGCATAGAAATAATGATTTACTTTTCAAAGAAAAGTGGAGGCATTTTATATCCCTGCATTTTTTACTCACACTTTTCACTTTTGAGGAATATTTTATCTATATTAGATCTTCTTGAACAAACAAATGCACTCTATTCCATATTTTGAAATCATTAGTGATTCTGATAGATTATTTTTAGTTAGCACTATTTGGGGGTATTAATCCAAAGTAGCACATTAAAGCAAGTTGCACAAAGAAGTGACCCCATGCTGATACAGCAACAGCAACGACAGCTGTATTCAATTGGCAGACACTTTCAAGGCTTAAGAGAAAGGCAAGTGAATGAAAGACGCAGAAAGCTGGCACACAGGGCTGCACAATAAAATGCATGCTTATTTCAGTGTTGCTGGATATAATATCCCAGGAGTAGCCTAAAATCTGGAACTTCATGTGAAATACTGTTTTTTTTTAAAAAGAGTGTCTGGCCCAAGCAAAGCATGTCTGCAGTTCATATGTGCCTTGTCAGATCTAATTTTTTTCAGACCAAATGTAAAGCATTCTATCAGAACTTTATTAGATTGCATGTAATAGATAAAGTCAGTGTTATTAATTAACAATATCTTATTTTTTCACATAAAGAGAATCTTCATATAGGTAGATGATGACACTAAGTTCCATATAATTTGTTTCCTTCCATCTGTTTTACTCTGACATTCCTAAACATTGGCTCCCACCTTATGGGCCAAGATAAATACTGTGAAAGAAAATCGAATCTTTGGGACACAAACTCACATATACTGAAGGGAAAGTTAAGCTTGGGAACTGAGTCATGCAATACTACTTTCCTTTTGTTCCCAGACAGATAGCTGTCATTTAACAACCCTTGTGTTGTTAGCCTCATGTATGTCATAGTCTCATCCATAAGCCAGGTTCCCACAATAGTAGAAGGTCACATATCTCCCTCGATGCCCTCCCTCAGAAATCTTTCAAGATCCATATCCCACCTATAAACTAGCCCTGAAACTGAGTTCTGTTGAATCTCACCCTGACGATGTCAATTACTAGCTTATCTTCATAGGTACAGGACAAGAACAAGATCAGAAATCATCCTTCCAACTACACTGAGAGGAATGCATGATTGACTTTCCTCTACTCCCTCTTTTCACATCCTTATCTTATGTAAAATGTAGATGTACTGAGTACCAGGCAAATGCATAATTGACTTTTTCCTCTGCTCCCTCTTTTCACATGTAAATTGCAGATTTACTGAGCCCTAATCAGAACCTCACAATAATGTAACCATTTGCCTCATGCCTACCTTCTTTTTTGCCCTCCTGCCTACTCTTTCCCCTTTAAATATGGAAGTCCCCAAAAACCTCTTTGGAAAAAGCACAGGTCACAGAGGCTCCTGAACTTGTGTTTTCCCCATTGCATCTTCAGTCTTTGACTAAACAAACCTCTTTCATTCGAGGCATCTGGCTTGGTCACTTTTTGGTTAACAATCCTAAAGCTCCACCCATTGCATTCTTGTTCCAGACTCTCCTGTCAGGTTTCAATCAGCCTGGTTGTGGTAACTCCTCACAATGACTCAGATGTTATATTAGTCCATTTTCATGCTGCTAGTAAAGACATACCCAAGACTTGGGTAATTTATAATGAAACAGAGGTTTAATTGACTCACAGTTCTACATGGCTGGGGAGGCCTCAAAATAATGGTGGAAGGTGAAAGAGGATCAAAGTTATGTCTTACATGGTCGCAGGCAAGAGTGCATGAGCAGGGGAACTGCCCTTTTATAAAACTATCAGATCTCCTGAGACTCATTCACTATCATGAGAACAGAACAGGAAAAACTTGCCCCCATGATTCAATTCCCTCCCACCAGGTCCCTCCCACGACATGCGAGGATTATTATCATTCAAGGTGAGATTTGGGTTGGGAGGGGACACAGAGCCAAACCATATCAGTTGCCAATGAAATGCTTTAGAATTGAAGGTTTATTGAAAGACTTTTACACACCACCAATCGTGTACACATTCACCCGACACAGTCAGTAATAAGAGGAGGGGTAACAAGCCCCAGCAAGTAGCATGGGAGAGCAGCACACTGAGTGATGAGCTGGGCAGCTCTGGATTTCCCATGACATGCTGACAGGGCTTGGGGAGGGGGTTCACTGCTCTTTCAAAGAAGAGTTTTCTGTGGCGTCTGAGGAGAGGAGGCCTCAGAGTTTTCATGGGCAGAGCGTCTGCAGGCATCCTGGCCATGATTGGTTTCTTTGATGTGTTATGGCCCTCCATAGGAATGTCCATGGTCATTATGTAAGCCACCTTTTAGCTTCACTTTCTTGTTTGGTCTTGGGGGTGCCTGGGCACAGCAGGCATTATCATTGCCTCAGTCCATTATTCATGTTTTTCACTTTGAGGGGTCGGCAGTTCCACTGTGGGCTGAGTCAGTTGTCATAAGTAACTCCATTTTGATACATTTAGGATCACAAAACTTTATTACATAGCACAGACAGAAAGTCAGAGGAAGGTAAGATTTTAACACTTCTCTGTTGAGAAATTTGATTGATATCACATGACACGTCTGCTTTTGTCTAACAGGGCAGAACTTATCACATGGCCATTTGATATGCAAGATGGAAGTGGGGAGTGCTATCTTATTTTAGGTCACCATTAGCCCAGATAAAAATAAAACATTTTATTATAAAAGAAGAAGAGGAAATATATAATGTCATAAACAGCTATGAAGACTTTGCTACAGAATCTTTTAAAGACAGGAAGTTGCAGAGCCTGATTGGCTTGAATAACATTTTCTTTCTTCAATTTATTAACCATGTGTCTTTAGGCAAGTGGTATTAGCATATAAGCATTAGTTGCTTCATCTTTAAAAAACTGATAAAAAGGTATTTACTCATATGTTTATTATAAGATGGGAAAAAGTTCTTAGAATGATGCCCATCACATAATAACTGTTAGAATGTATCAGCTATTGTTTAACAATATTGACATAAAATAGTGAAGAAGAAGCTACTTCAAGAAAGCAGAAAAAAACATCTGATAGGACTCTAACTAAGAATAGCCTTAATCCACAGATTTGGAGAGAGCTAGTCTGAAATAGGCCATCCATGATTTATGATGCACCTACTTTCCTAAGGATTTAGGACTGCTTAAAAGAGCAAAATATTTAATACCTTAAAGGAACTTAAAGTGGAATAAATTCAAGGTAAGAAGAAAATAATACTCCAAAAAACTCTATGTGGCTAGAGTTTATAAATTTCTCTATTCTATAAATTATGACACTAAGGCAGAGTGTGCTTAAATAATCTTCCTAAGGTCACCTGGCTAGGAAATGTTGAAGCGAGGGTACCAAGTCAGACAGTCTGAATTTCTAAAAGCATAATGTTAGTTACAAAACCAACTCAAAGGGAAGACTATCATTCAATAGACATGGGGGTTGAATTAGAGATCAGGCAGCTTTCTCTATCATTGACTTTCACAAGGATATGCAGAAGAAAGAACGTGTGTTAAGCATCAGAACTATCTGCAGGCCTAGTGGTGCTAAGGTGACAAAAATACAGAATGTTGCTGTTTTTTGTTTGTTCATTTCGGTTTTCTTCAAAAATATATGTTTCTTTGAAAGTTATCTTAGTTTTATTATTTTTTTAAGGGAAGAAAGCATTAGCAAAATTACTAGAAATGCTTAAAACTTTTAGAATTGCCGGCCAATTATTTTTGCAAAAAAGATTTAAAGAGAATCCAATTCTTATATGTCAAATGAAAAGACAATTCAAACTTAAATGAACATAATCTGGGAATGACCCTCACTTGGTTGTGAATATTATCAAATATTGCTGCTTCAAAGACATCATGTTCTGACATGAATAGCATACTTATTTGTCTTACAAAAAAACAACTTTATTCATAACATTTAGAAGGTTGTTTCTTCTTTTGTTTTCTATTGTGGCAAACCCTAAAGCCGTGTGCATGTCTACTAAAGATGTAGACAAGATTGAAGCTAATTGAGCTTTTTTATCTCCATAGGCACTTTATAGAGAGACTCCATCAGTCAAAACATTACATTCTTTCCACTTTGTTCAAGCCACGATGCTTATAATAAACCTATCCTCCAGCTATTTTCCATGTTCTTACTGTACCCACTGTTACTGATTATATATAATGGCATGCTGATGCCTATATTTAACCCTCCTACAGTTCATTGTTAAAATTAGTCATTATGGAGCAGATCACATCTTATCTTTGTATGTTTAAAGCTTGCTGAACAAAGACAGCAGGCTAGTCCTAAATGTTATATGACAAGAAAAGCATGGTTTAAAGCAATAATGTCCCAATTATGTTTAATCTAAGAAGAAAAAATTAGGATGCCTGAACAAGGTGTAATGTGCCTTTTTGTAAAACTGTCAAAATCCTTGTCATTTTTTTTTCCTTAGAATTACAAAAGAATTGCTGTGGCTTAGTTCTTTTAACAGAAGCTTTGATTGCAAGCTTTGATTTGCAAGCTATTGCTCTTAAGGAAGAGAAAAAATCACATTAGAAAATTATAAAAGAAGAATATGAAGTAGAAAAGGAAAACTGATACTAATTTGTAAAAGTATTTCACCAGTTTGTTTTCTTTTTAGTGTGTAGCAAAGGTGTGATGGAAATATAACGGTAGACGAGAGCACATAGTTTTAAATAAATAAATGTATTCCTCCATATAAAGAAAAATGGGTGTGGTCATTACTTGAATCTATGAAGATGGTAAGTTATAGTGCCCATTTATTCATTCAAACACTCATTTGGTCTTGCATTGAGGTATTTTGTAGATATGATTAACTTCCACAATCAATTGACTTAAATAAAGGGGATTGTCTGCATAATGTGTGTGGGTCTCATCCAATTAGTTAAAGGTCTAGAAAACAAAATTTAGGCTCCCTGAGAAATAAGAATTTCTGCAATATCAGCTGACTTAGAGCGTCCAGACTGCTGGAGTGATCTACAGATTTTGAACTTGCCACCCTTCACTAGATAAACAAAATCAGTCACTCTCTCTATATATATGTAAGTATACACACACACACACACACACATACATATATGACATATACACACACCTATACATATGTGTTTATATAAATACACATGTGTATTTTATATATATAGAGAGAGATTCTTATGCTGACCCACATAAGATATTTTGCATATCCACACATATGTATATGTATATATCCACACATATGTATTTTTGTATATGATTTACATAGCAAGCTAAATTATTATATCAGTCAGGGATCTCCAGATAAAGCAAACCAGTAGAAAAAACATATATATATATATGGTGTATATAAAACACCCATATATATGTTTTTTCTACAGGTTTAGACATAGATATGTGTATATATATGTATATGTATGTATATATATGTCTATATATGTGTATATGTGTATTTATATGTCTAAAAACATTTATGTACACACATATGTATGGGTGTGTGTGTATGTGTTATATATATGTATGTGTATATATATGCTTTTTTTATTATATATACTCCCTTTTAATATATATGCATATGTGTGTGTATTAGATTATAAAATGACTACTTCATCCACTCTACCTTACAGTGAAAAGTGCCTGACATATAATAGGAACCCAGTAACAATTACTTTTCTTCCTTATTTAATTTCATATATCATATTGTTCACAATCACTGTTTTGCATGTGAATACATTTTACATCATTATAAGATAGAAGCAATATGTAATATTAAAACAAATCAGTTTTTAAAATGAATACATTGCATTCTAAAATTTTAAAGTTCTTTTATGATGTTGATAGGTCCTGCAAATTACTTAAGTAAAAAATGTAATAAATACTAAGTGTAAAATTATGACAATTAACATTTCAATCTAATTTTTATATAGAGTTAACAGTAAAATTGAAGAAAACAGAATGACTAGACTTATTCACTGTTTAGGATTGGGGAGGCAAGGGGTCTTTGACTGACAAATCAGCATAATGCTGTTGCTACATCCATTTCTTTCCAAATAAATAAGTTGAAATGTTTCTATTAAAGAAATATGTCTCATTTTACTGGTCTCAGTAACTTCACCCTTAGTCTAGTGCAGTAATCAAGAGGGCAGACCCAGAAGCCTGAGTTTTAGAAAATCTTGTAGGACTTTGTGCAGATTGACTTGAATGTACCATTACTCCCCACCCCCAGCATCTCTCCATGTTAGGATCCTCATGTGAAAAATGAGGATAATAACATCCTTCCTCATTGAGTTGCTGAGTGTATTTCGTGGCTTAATACAGGAAGATTCTAAGAATAGCGTCTTGCACATAATATCTTTCAAAATATATTAGCATATTTTTGCTAAAATGATATAATGGAACATAATTACATGGGGCTTAGTTTTATCAAATATAAATATTTAAATAAGACATAATGAAGAAAGCAATGTAATTTTTTTCCTATCTCATGTATACACCTAGCTGTTTTATGATTTGACATCACAGGTCAAGAATATGTTATTTTCAGCATTCCTAATGGTTTATGGAAAGATGTAAATATATTTAATTCCAAAAGCTAGTAAAGATAAGATCCTGAAAGTCTGACTACAAATGGCAAAGGGAACACTGGTAGTTTGTCTGCTGAAAAACTCCCCAATGTCTTCTATAGCCTTTGCTTCACCACTATGCCACAGGGAAACTGGGATGAGGGAAGATACAGGGAGTAATTTTGAACTGTAGTGAGTTTTGATCAACTAAAATTATCAAGATAATTCCTTTTTCTCTTGTCAAAATAGTAACATCTAAGTTTCTTCCAGTAAGTGGATTTTGTTTTTATCCTACCTGTGTCAGAAAGAAAAATGGCCCCTACCCCAGATATCCACATCAAATTCATAAAACCTGTGAATGTGTCTTGTAAGATGAAAGGTGTGATTAGGTTAAAAGTCTGAGGAGAGAGCTATTTTGGGAGGCCGAAGTGGGCAGATCACTTCAGTCCAGGGATGTGAGATCAGCCTGAGAAATATGGTGAAACCCCATCTCTACAAAAATTACAGAAGTTAGCTGGACATGACAGCTGGCACCTGTAGACCCAACTACTCAGGAGGCTGAGGTGGGAGGATCACTTCACCCTGGGAGGTGGAGGTTGCAATGAGCCAAGATTGTGCCATTGCACTTCCGGCTGGGTGACAGAGCAAGATTCCATCTCATAAAAGAAATTAAAAAAAATGAAAAATAAATAAACTAAACAGAAAGAGCTAGATCCTGGAGTATCCTGGATTATCGAGGTAGATCCTAAATGGCATCACAAGTGTGTTTATAAGGTGAAGGGTGATTTCATGCAGACACACACAGAGAAGGCAATGTGAAGATGGTGTCAGAGATTGGAGCGATGAGGCTACAAGCCCAAGAATGCCAGGGCAACCACTAGAATCTAAAAGGAGCAAAAAATAAATAAAAAACAAACAAACAAAAAATCAGATTCTTCCCTGGATCCGCTAGAGAGGACCTGGGCATGCTGGATTTCATGGCCTCCAGAACTGTAAGACAATACATTTCTGTTGTTTTAATGACCAAATTTGTGGTAATTTGTTAGAGCACACTTAGGAAACTAATACAATACCTTATGACTTTAGAAGTTAAGAATGTTTAACAAGAAAGAAAAGGATCTCCATTCTGCTAGGCTCTTGATATGGTTTGGCTCTGTACCCCCACCCAAATCTTATGTCAAATTGTAATCGCCAGTGTTGGAGAAAGGGCCTGGTGGGAGGTGATTGGACCATGGGGGCCGACTTCCCTCTTGCTGCTCTTTTGTGAGTGAGTTCTGACAAGATATGGTTGTTTGAAAGTGTGCAGTGGCTGGGTGCAGTGGTGCATGTGTGTAATCCCAGCATTTTGGGAGGCTGAATTGGGTGAATTGCTTGAGCCCAGGAGTTCAAGACCAGCCTGGGCAACATGGCAAAACCTCTTCTCTACCAATACAAAAAATTAGCCAGGTACAGTGGCATGCACCTGTGGTCCCAGCTAGTCAGGAAGCTGAAGTGGGAGGATTGATCACTTGAGCACAAAAGTTTGAGGCTTCAATAGGCTGTGTTCGCACCACTGCACTCCAGCCTTGGTGACAGAGCGAGACCCTGTCTCAATAAACAAATAAATAAATAAATAAAAACAAGTGCGTAGCACCTCCCTCCTCGCCCTCTTTGTCTCCTGCTGGCCATGTGAAGACGTGTCCATTTCCTACTCACCTGCCACTATGATTGTCAGTTTCCTGAGGCCTTCCCAGAAGCAGAAGCCCATATCACCTGCAGAACCAGGAACCAATTAAACCTCTTTTCTTTATAAATTACCCAGTGTCTGTGGGCAAAGGATTACCCAGGTGCCGAGGCAAGAGACTGAAGGCATAAACTATTTCAGTATAACAAAGAAAATAGTTAGAATGAAGAATAGTTATAATACAAATTAGATATAGAGATGATCATGGACATTATCAATCATTAGTATAAACATTATTAATCATTAGCCTTTAATATTACTCTTTGTTGTATTACTCATATTACCAAGGAATAACCGGCGAGTATAGGGTGAGGAGCTAAAGGGACATTGTGAAGAGTGACCAAAAAGGCAAGAGGTGGGCCCTCTGTCATGCCCGCATAAGGGCCACTTGAGGGCTCCTTGGTCAAGCGGTAACGCCAGTGCCTGGGAAGGCACCTGTTACTTAACAGACAGGTTAAAAGGGAGCAAAAGGGAGTCTCCCTTGGAGTCAGAGAACACTTTGCTCCAGCAGCTTCTTGTGGGAGGCTGGATATTATCCAGGCCTGCCCGCAGTCATCC